>NC_000015.10:37822328-38125358 GCF_000001405.40 Homo sapiens
CCTGGCCTAGAGAAAAGATACAATGTCAGAATTACATGTGCTACCACACTTAGCCTTTTAAAGATATTCCATACAGGTATGTTTTTCCTAAATCATGTACTCTATTTTACAACTATAACCTAACTTAACTTTTACAACACCTTAAGAGGCCAACAATGGACAAAGCATCTGGCCTGGCTTATGGTGAATCACTGCTGTGTGAAACCCTAGGCAGAAAGACAATCAAGTAAGATGGCCAAGAAGAGAAAGAGAACTTTTAATATATTTAATCCACTAAAATATATCATCACACATAGCTTTGGGTATGTGCTCCATTCATAATCATTAGGTAGTCTAAGTTGATCTTTATATACTCTGGCAATCACATATACCTTCCAACTATATCTAGATATGTACATATTTCAGTCAAAATAAATTACAACAAGTAACTCTGACCTTATTATAGCTCTCAGCTGACAATGTTTGATTCCATCGTAATCAATTGTGTGGGAGGTTGGAAGGAGGCAGACTGGGAGAGGTGGCTATTGTCTTTTTTACACCTTACATCAGAAGCACCATGGTATGGTGGATTTTGGTGTCAGAGAGACCTGAGCTCGAATTCTGGTACCTTGGTCCTGTTTACCTCTGTAAGCTCCAAAACACTATCATAGAAATCACGGTACTAAATTTATAATTTTCATGAGCTTAAGGGAGACAATTCTCCTAAAGCCTTGCTCTCAGTAGATGTCCATGAGTCTCTGTACCATTCCCCTTCCTAAGGCATCTTTGGAAAACAAAGGGAAAGCCCTGGAAGTTGGTGAGCTGACATTGTTGCCTTTTTCTTCAGATCCATCTTATACCACAATATTACACTACTACAAGTTTTTGAGAGGACATTTCTTCCCATTTATTCTTGTATAGTCTATAAAGAAAGCCTGGTACTAATGTGACTTGACTTCTTCTTTCAGCCAGGTTTATTCCATCAAATTCCCAGGATATTTTTTAAGTGGAGAAGAGTTTCCATGTGCAATATATTTTCAGTTTCATGAGTTCAGCTTGATGGTGCCAATTCCAGGAAAAATTGCCTGTTCACAAGCAGGTATCATTATGGATTCAATGGTAATGGCATTCTCAGCTATATAAAAAGCCAGCAAATTGTGATTTCTGAACTGACCAACTTGGATAATGAACAGAACCTTCATTCTGGCCAGGAACCTGAGACAGCCTGTGACACAGCGGATTTTTTCAGGTGAGCAGTGACTGGAAATGCTCTTTCCATTCTGATATAGTCTGAATATTTGCGCCCCCCCGCCACCAGCCAAATTCAAATGTTAAATCCTTATCCCTAATGTAAGGGTATTAATATTAAAGGATGGAGTGTTTGAGAGGTGATTAGGTCGTGAGTGGAGTCTTCATGAATGGGACTAGTGCTCTTACAAAAGAATCTCAAGAGAGATCCCTCAGCCCTTCCACCTTGGGAGAGCACAGCTAGAGGGAGCCATCTGTGAACCAGAAAGCAGACCCTCACCAGACACTGAATCTACTGGCACCTTGATTGTGACTTCCCAGTCTCCAGAACTGGGATAAATAAATGTCTGTGAATTATAAGTCGCCCAGTCTCTATGGCAGTTTGTTACAGCAGCCTGAACAGACTAAGAGCCATTACTTGCTTCAATCTACCTTTGCTCTTCTGCCCAGTCCTGTGCTCAGCCCCGGGAATATGAAAAGAAGCAAGCCGCAGTCCCTGCCATTACTGTCCCACAGTCCGGGGTGGAGACAGACTTGCAGAGACAACAGCATACTGCGAGAGGCTGCGTAAGCACCTACAAGGGCTGTACAAAGATGTCTGCCTGCAGGAGCAGGGAAGGTTTCACTAAGGAGATAAACTTTAATCTCAGCCTTAAAAGATGAGTGGGAGTTTGCCAAACACAGAGAGCATCCCGTATAAAACAAACAGAAGACCAAGTAAAGAATTCCCCTGGCAAGTCCCCGATGCCTGCTGGGCTGAGGGGAGCATACTCTCCTGTGTGCCGCTGCTGTGCCTTGTGAAGTCCCTCATTTGAATTTAATTACACTGTTTTCTCTCTCCCCACTAACCTGTAGCAGATTACCCAATGGCAATGTGCATCTATCTAATGAAAAGGGGATAATCAAGATACATAGAGGATTAACAAAAAATGAAAGAATGATATATTTTAACCTCAACTGCACTTCCAAAACATTTTTATAGAGAGAGACAAGTAATTGATAACCTATAAAGTTCATTTATAACTACTCATAAGCCCTGTCTTATGAATTAGTTGTTTTTTTAAGGGACATAATAAATGATGAATCAACATTTGTTACGTGAATGAATGAAGCTGTGAAAAACATTAGGCAAAAAAAAAAAAAAAAAATAGACCTTTTCAAATATTAGGGTGTATCAAAATAAATAAAGCTACCAGAACTGAACTTTAAGAGGAAATCTGAAATTCTGTCCTCTCTGTTGCTCAGCTTCGAGCACTGGGAACCTCCAGCAATGCCTGTCCCACCGGCAGGAGGTGTCTGGAATGAGTCCTGCTGACCCAGAGCAGATGTGAGTCACATTTGGGGTAAGTTTGTCAAGCTGCTCCTATCTCTTTCTGCAGCACATTTACTCAGCCCTCATGACTCAGCTTCTACTTCATATTCTAAGTCCCTGAATGGGATTACAGCTGAACCACAGCTTACTTCGCTAAAACCTTGACATCCTGCCTAGACCTTCCTAAAGGCCAGACTGCGTCTCTAGAAACCTCAGCTACACACAAACTGTGGTCCCGGGCCTCATTGTATAGACCACCCAGAATAGCAGTGGTAACAGCCTCTCATCTTCCTCTTTCTAGACACTTCCTACTTCACTACACCAGTTACTTTACCTCACCCCTGTCCACATGAGCCAGCCAGGGTTGAGCTAGTGCTTGCCACACCCAAAAAGACACCGACATTTGGATTGCTGGCTCCTCACTATATTTTGAACAATTCTGCCATAGATCAAGGGACCCAAAGCCATACTCAACATCCCCATCCCCAACTCTGGGCTTCTCTGTGCCCCATTTGCCTGGCCCAGAGGCATGGTTCTCTGTGACGCCAGCCACAGACAAAATACTTTCAACCACATAGCTTTCCACTGAAGGTCTGTTTAAAATACTAAGTATCTGAAGGTGTTTTCTAAAAATGATGGGGATGACAATTTCTGCTAATGCAAGTATGTCTTAAACATCTGTAAATTAGCAAATAATGAGTGTTACATCATTATGGAACTGAAATTCAGGTTTCAAAATCTATTAACATTACAGTACAAGTTTTTTTTTAAATTCCTGCACCCTGCATAGCTTAGTGATATATTGATTGCACATGAAGATGTAAGCAAAGTTACCTCTATTTCTATCCATGGTTTTAAAGTGCACTCTCTTACAACCCAACATTGCATGTTCATTTCCCCATTCTTTAGCAAAACCTATGAAGCAATCAGGTGAACAGCAAGTACAGGAAAGAAAATACTAAAATAATCTCAAACTCATACATCCCTAGAGATAAGAAGAAAATAAGCCTGAATACAAATACATTTTCAGTCTTTTAGAGAAAAAGTTTGAGCCCACAAAGCATTTTCTTTTTTTGATAGCATAATTCACATTTAGCAATTTGATTTCCTTTCATTATGAACTATCATTACCCCCCAAACCCAGCCAACCTTTTAGATACATTTAACAATTATTCTTATTTTAGAAATCAAAATAAGTCTAATTAAAATTAAGAGCCATACTAATCTTAAGAGCTGAGGTTTTAAAGAAAACCTTTAGTGTATTTATATTGTCATTTACTTTTTATTCTCAATTTTCTGTCTTCACTGGTTAGACAATTAACCAGTATTCAAGCCTGTAAAGTACTGAGAAGCATGAAATTTACATAAATAAAATAAATTAACACAGTTAAACAATACAATATTGCCTCCTGACATCCCCATTTTCAGATGTCATCAACAAATAATCAAGATACCAAGTCAGGGTAGGCATTGTTCCTTAATAATTGCTTAGATTATCACAGATTCACTAATCATTACAATATTATACCAGAAATTTGTTTTTAATCCAGTGAACATATTGCTAATGACTGAAACATCTAACAGCATCATCTTTTCTAACAGCAGCAAAATGCCAAGGAATTGATTTTAATTAGGTTTTAGAAAAAGAATTATGTGAAACTCAAATATGTCATTCAATTTATGTCAAGGAGACTCTCAAAAAGGATTACGTGGTTAGCTGGACTTTGGGATGGAGGCAGATCTTTGTTTGGAATTCTCCAATTTATTTGGAAAGCTCTCATACACATACTGCTGATGAGTATCTCACTTCACTGCATTCTCCAACAGGTTTCTTTCTCTCTCTCCCTTCTTCCATAGCAGTAATAACCATGACGGCAGATCATTGGGATGTCTCAGTATCAAGAAAAATTATCATTTTTCCAAATCTTTCTTTATGTAACCACAGGGGGTTCTGGCTTTAATTTAGTAAGGCAGTGCAGAATTTTGAATTGAGAACTTATTTAATGAGGGTTAGAATAAAAAACCTTCTAAGCAAGCAAAAAATAGAAGGGAAACCAGGGAAATGCTACCGTTAAAAATGGGGCATTTTGAGATGGTGAAATTGGGAAGTGGGGGGCAGAATTAGATATATGTTAATCCTTTAAAATTTTAGCAATCCACATGCTTAATTACTTCATATGGCCTTTCAACACATGCCAGCAATGGCATTTCTTGTGTATTGAGACCACTTTTGTTGCATTGGGACCTGTGAGGTTAATACCAGGGGTATCCACTGAGTAAGATCCATAAAAGCTTTCTGGGCTTCTTAAAGGAAAATGTCCTAAAGCAACATTACATCAAAGGATAAGTAACACATGACATAAGTGTTTTTCAATATTCCTTTTAAAACTAATTCCACTTTCATAAACAATGTATTCTAAAAACAAAACAAAACACAAAAAACCTTTAAAGAAATTCTGACTCCAGGGAGAGATTTGAGCCTCTAAATTTCCTGAAACCCTTTGGAAACAATTCATATTTTTTAAAACCCTTAGGAATTCTCTCTGACTTGCAAGTGGCCACCTTTTTAGTTACTGTATATCTGACATATGCCACAAGATTTTAAAAACTAGAGTGTGAAGCTGATGTTTTCATAAAGTTTAAATCTCTCATTTACTTCTTTTTACATTCATCATCTCTACTTATCCACCCACTGATTCATTTCAGATTTATTGAACACATACTACCTACCTACTCTGCTCCCCAGTAGTAAAATATTTCTGTCCTGACTTTACATGAAGCCAGAATACCATGCAAGAATCTTGCAAGGGGGTAAACACGAACACAGTGGGAATCCAAAGCTCTAGAAAATAGGTGCCATGTGGTGATAGAAGAAGAATAAGCATCACCGCCAATTACTCCATTCCAAACTGCAGCTTACACAGATTAACACAAAGTCTAAACAGAATGGGCTTGCTATTCCAAATTCACATAAAGCAAACTCACATAATGCAAGTAGTGTATCATGTATTTGAAACTGCAGTGTGATGTGATACTCGACAGATAAGTACAAGGTGCCAGTGACACAAGGAAAGGAGTAGGGGAGTGACAGGAGGGGAGGTGTGTTGAGCTCCTGGAAGGTTCCACAGAGAAAACTCCTGAGAGAGATCTTGAGAAGATGAGTAGGAGTCTAAAAGGAAGACAAAGAAGATAAGGTATCCTGGTTAGATGAGCTAGCAAGAGCAAAGGTCCAGAGAAACTGGACCTTTCTGCACACATTCTAGTGGAGGGCTTAGTGATAAAGACTGAGCAAAACTGGATCAAGCAGGGCCTTGTCTACCTTGCTAAAGAACATGGATTTGATCCTGTAAGCCAGTGGCTCTCAAACTTTTTGGTCTCAGAATCTCTTTCTACTCTTAAAAACTATTGACGATCCCAAAGAACTTCCTTTTATGTGTGTTATATCTATCAATGTTTACCATATTAAAAGTTAAAACTGAGTAACAGTTAAAATATGTACTTACTAATTCATCTTTAATGATACTAAACCCATGATGTGATAACATAAATGTTTTAACAGAAAAATAACTGTATGTTTCCTCAAAAAATTTAGCAAGAAAAATTTAGTTTTCTATTTTTGAAATATTCTCATTAATATCTGGCTTAGTGAAAAGTAACTGAATTCTCTGTTTCTGCATTCAGTCTGTTGTGATATCATAGAGACATTGAAAAATTCCACTACAGATCCATGAGAAAATAAGAGTGAAAAACATAAACGATATTTTAGTATTATTATAAAATTTGTTTAATCATTTAGATCCCCTGAGTCTCAAGGGCTTCCAGAGATGTCCAGGTCAGTGAGCAGTGACACTGTTGTCATTTGGGGATCAAGTTACATTTAAACAAGGGCATAAACTGAATATACCTGCATTTTAGAAAATGGCATTGCAAATGATACAGATATGAAGAAAGCAAAGTAAAAACATTCTGGAGAGTATACCTAACATTCACAAATAATACAGAAAATTTTCATGTGGCTTAAGCACTAGCTTTTCACTACAGAGATGTTACTTTTCAACAACATCAAAAGAACATATACCTCTTCAAATATGCTCAATATTTGCCTGATCCTATAATCAAAATGATATAAAGGTGACTATAGATAACTTTACGCCAGTCAACTAAAAATTTAAACAAAATGCACAAATCCCTAGAAAAATATAACTTACTAAAATGTATACAAAAAGAAACACAAACCCTAAGTAGTCTGGAAAGAAGGGCTAATGCTCATCTTATAAGCACTTATAGTCATATCATTTATTTACAGCTGATAACCATTTGACCCATCAGGTGTGCACTCTAGTTGACCTATGCCTATTCTCTATCTCATGTTAATAACAAGATTTAAAATATCACTCTCATGTACAGCCATTAAATCACTGAGTCAAAATCACTTTCCCGCAAAGAAAATGTGAAGCCCAAATGATTTCACCATTGAGATATGCCAAACATTTAAGGAAAAATATATCGCTAAACATATATGAATTATCCCAGAGAACAGGAAAAGAAGAACTACTCTTTAACAAATTTTCAGAGGCTAGCATAACTTGATACCAAACTCTCACAAAGAGTGTATAGGAAAGGGAAATTAAAAGACAACCCTCAGTCATGAACCCAGATTTACAATTTTAAAATAAAATATAAGCAAACTAAATATAGCAATATACAAAGAGGATAAGATACCGTAAGTAAGTAAAGTTTATTCAAGGACTGTAAGGTATCTTTAATATTAGAAAATCAATCAATATAATTTACCACCTTAACAGGTTAAAGAAGAAAAATTATATGGCCATCTCAATAAATTCAGAAAAAGCCTTTGATAAAACTGAAAATCTTTTCTGTATTGATCTAGAAATCCTACACAGCACATGAGGAAGGAAAAAAGTTATTATTAGCAAATAACAAAATGTGTAAAAAAAAAAAGCTATACTTATACATTTTAGCATTAATTAAAGAGCCCAACAAGTTGTCAAGATATAAGGTCACTATGAAAAAATTATGTATCTAAATATCAGAAACAGAATATGAAATAAAACTTAAAATACCACTTAAAATTGTATCACAAATATGAGATACCTAGAAGTAAATGTAACAAAAGAGTCCAAAAATACCACTTTCTTTTTTTTTTTTTTTTTTTACACATCTTTAATTTTATTACTTAAATGCCCACTTGCCCAGAATTGCCCCCATGAATTCTGGAAGTTTTTCCAAGAGGAGAGAAAACTGTGACTCTGATCAGTCCTGACTTTCATTGTCATTGTTTAATGCTGCTACCAGATAGTTTCTTGAAGACCCTGTGTCATTGTCTACTCTGGTTTTCAATGATCCTGCTGCTCAGACCGTGAAGTTTCTTAAAAGGAGAAAGATCCCTCTCTCTGTGGTACTTCATAGCAGGGCCCTTATGACTATAGTTCTTTTAATTGCATTCACCTACTCAGTGCCCTAAGCCCATGCAGACTAGCAGAAGCAGGAGCGATTTCCAGCCTCATCCAAAGGTTGCCCTGAAACCAACAAGCAAGGTCCTATGTTGATCCATGGCCACGAGCCCAGACAATCCCTTCCTGATGTGAGTTCCATCTTGGAAATTCCTGGTATCCATGCAAGCCAGCCTCAGACATCAGTCAGCACCACCTCAGTTCTCAAAGCAGTTCTTCAATAACAGAAACAGTAATGACACTAATACTTAAAAGCCTGTTCTAAGTACTTTGTTCATTTAATTCTCATAGGAATCCTATCAACTTTTGCCACATTTTTCTGATGAAGGAATGGAGATATCAAGAGATTAGGTAGCACAGCTAGTAACTGGCAGGGGCGGGAGGATTTGAACCTAGGAAGACTGGCTCCAGAGCCTGTGCTTGTAACCACAGCTACCTTAAATTCCAAAGGTAAGAGATTGAAGTCTCTGCTTCCTTGGAGGTTCCCTGAGCCCTGTGTAAGGATGTGCCTCCTCTCTACTTCCCCAAACCCAACACCTTAAAGATTATAGAGCAGAGACTTTGTCAAACAACAAAAGGTTTGCACGATCCACTCCACAGAGCAATTAGGCACCTCCATGTCTGGGTAGACAGAGGCCATCCAAGTGATCCTTCCAAGAATGAAGAATAAAAGTCACTGTCAAAGGTGATTTTTGGTCTCCATCTGAGTGAGAAGTGTCTGGAAACTTTTAAAACAATGCTTTAGGTTTTGTTTGTTTGTTTTTCGTGTTTTTTTGTTTTTTTGTTTGTTTGTTTTTGAGACGGAGTCTTGCTCTGTTGCTCAGCAGGTTAGAGTGCAGTGGCACAATCTTGGCTCACTGTAAACTTCGCCTCCTGGGTTCAAGCCTTTCTCCTGCCTCAGCCTCCCAAGTAGCTGGGATTACAGGCATGAGCCACCACACTTGGCTAATTTTTGCAAAAAATAGCCCTTTCTTTAAAAAAAAATCCTCTTTCCCATAAAGAGAAAGTGGAAAATAAAACATACTGGAAAACATTAAAGAAGATTTAAAAGAATGGAGATATATTCAATATTCATGTATTGGAGGACTCAATATTGTAAATTTGTCATTCTCCAAGATTAATAAATCCAAAGCAATCTCAATCAAAATCCCAATAGATTTCTTTTTTTAAATTTTCTTTGGTATTTTTAATTTTTACTTAATATTACATTAGGATACAGTATAACACAACCTGGATTTGAATCCTGGCTCTGTTACAAGTCAGCTAACATTGGACAAGCAGCTTAATTTCCTCATCTGTGAAACAGGAATAATAATATTATTTTATTTTACTCTAAATTCTGGGATACATATGCAGAACGTGCAGGTTTGTTACATAGGTATACGTGTGCCATGGTGGTTTGCTGCACCTATAAACCTGTCATTTAGCTATTAAGTCCCACATGCATTAGCTATTTGTCCTGATGCTCTCCCTCCCCTTGCCCCCCATTCCCCAACAGGCCTCGGTGTGTGATGTTACCCTCCCTATGTCCATGTGTTCTCATTGTTCAACTCCCGCTTATGAGTGAGAACATGTGGTGTTCGGTTTTCTGTTCCTCTGCTGGTTTGCTGAGGATGATGGCTTCCAGCTTCATCCTTGTCCCTACAAAGGACATGATCTCATTCCTTTTTATGGCTGCATAATATTCCATGATGTATATGTGCCACATTTTCTTTATCCAGTCTATCACTGATGGGCATTTTGTTGGTTCCATGTCTTTGCTATTATAAATAGTGCTGCAATAAACACATGTGTGCATGTGTCTTTACAGTAGAATGATTTATATTTCTTATGAAACTTAACAAGCTGATGGAAATTCACAGATAAAATAATAGTCAAAATACTCCAGAAGACATACAAGGTAGGAAGACATGCTTTACCAGGTCTCAAAACCTATGAAAAGATATAGTAACTAATATGTTGTTGGCACTCAGATAAACAAATTTCTCCAAGGAGAACCAAGAAACATTCCTATACACGCATAAAAGCTTGACTTATGAGAGAGATAACCCTTCAGAGCATTGGGAAATAACCTTGTTTCTTAAATAAAATATATTAGTAACATGGAATATCCATATGGGCATAAGAGTCACACTGAACACAAAAATCCATTGTAAGTGTGAACAATAAAACTTTAAAGTTTGTAGAAGATAATAGAAGTGATTATCTCAATTTCCTCTGAGTTTGGGAATGATTTCTCAAATAAGACACCAAAAAAGCAGTAACCTGGAAAGATTGAAATATTTGATCAATTAAAATTCAGATCTTTTCTTCATGAAAAGATACCATAAAAAGTTAAAAATAACCCAGAGATTAGTAAAAGTTATTTGCAAGACATCTACCTCCAAGACTAGTATCCAGAATATATAAAGAATTTCTGCCAATTAATAACAGATAATCCAACATAACAATAGACCCCCAAAATTGAACAGATATTTCACAAAATAAAAAATCCCAATGGCCCAATAAATATGCATGTACCTAATATCTCCTTGACCTTAACTGTCTCCACAACATCTTGCCACTTGTTTCAGCCCCAGCCATTGCCAAGGCCACCACTCTGAAGGGACTCTGACCAACTGCATGGGGACACAACCCAGTGGCACCTAATATCAAACCCATACAAAGCACTTCTCACCTCCTTCTCAAAGGGGCTTTTCATTTGATAGTTAGGACCACTTAGCACCCACATATGCACAGACCAGAAGTGTATGGAGATCAAAGTCCCATGGGATCAATCTTTGACCAGAGGAAGAGAGGAGCCAATGAATACATTCTTCTTCCTTCTTTCTCATTTGCTTTCCTCCTAACACTAGCATGCACCCACAGGTTTTCATGAGAAATGATCCTTTATACAATCTCTCAGAAGACGGTCCCATGAGATCAAGCAAGTGTTTGCACAAGAAAACAGAGGCAGCTAGTTTAAAATGCATCCTTGAGTTAGCTCTTTCTCTTTTCCTGCTTCACTCTCCTGATGCCTCAGTGCTGCTTCCTTGAATTACACTCCCACTAAAGAAATAGCACATAAGCCTTCACCCCCAAGCTCTGTGTTTTAGGGAGCCCAAACTAAGACAATATGAAAAGTTGCTCAATCTCATTTGTAATCAGTGATTTACACAAGAGATACCAATGCATGCCCACCAGACAGGTAAAAAACAAACAATTCTGAATGTACTAAGTATTAGCAAGAATGTGAAAAAAAAAACAGAAATTCATACACTGTTAATATTAGTCCAAATTGGTGCAAACACTGGAATATGATTTGGCCCTTATCCAACAAAAGATGAATATATGCAAACCTTAGAACTGAGACTAGTATTCAACTTCTGGCTATATTACCCAAGACAAAAAGCAGTTTTACTATGAAGCTAAATAAATTTAAGCTGTGGGGCATCTCACTGGCATGGATTCACCTCTAAGTCCTTATACCTAATATTGTATTCACAACTTTGAAGTGCACATATGTTTTACAGAAAGTCTAAGCTATAATTTTATACTATACAGCACAAATTACAGAAAACGTTCAGCTACACATACAACATGGATGAATTTTACAAACTTAACATTAAGAGAGAAAAGCAAGACATATAACAAGCTTAATTTAAGCAAGAGTTTATAGTGTATGATGCTTTTTATATAAGGTTCAAAAAGACACTAACCTAACCTTATTGATAATAGATATATACATAGGTGATAAAACCAAACAGAAAAGCAAGCAATCAATTACCATGAAAGCCGGGATAGTGATTACCTCTAGGGGTAAGGGAGAGGTAGTAATAGAAGGGATTCTGAAGGCCGGGCGCAGTGAGGGGCTCATTCCTGTAATCCCAGCACTTTGGGAGGCCAATGAGGGTGGATCACTTGAGGCCTAGAGTTCAAGACCAGAAGTGATCCTGAAGAGCTGCCATTATTCTACTTTTTGACCACAGTGTTTATTACACAGCTTATATTTTGTAGTTATTCATCAATTTTACATTTCCATTTTATGCACTTTACTGCATATGTATGTTTCAGAAAATTAAGGGAAAAAATAAAATATTTAACAAATAATTACTACCAGCTCTCTCCCTTAGTGCCTATGAAACCAGGTAACCACATGTCACCTTGAGTTGCAGAAGCATGTGGAGGGAAGAGAAGTGCTCTCTTGCAGGTCTAGTGGGGTCCTCACACAGGAGTCCGCCTTCAGCAATTAAGATGAATTCCAGGCAGGTCACTATTTCTGGATTTGTAGACTTCTGAATATTACCTACTACCAACTAAATTAACCTTCAAAACATGAGAGCAGTTAAAAATTTTCCTGCATATACATCAAGGATTTAAGAAAATACACGCACAAGTGAACAAGCAGAAAAGTGGCAGAGCTGATCTTTCCTCTCCAAGTGGGAGCGTTCATGGAGCCTCAATATAAGGTAAAATTAGTGATAATGAGTTCAAATTATTAACAAAGTTATCAAGAAGATAATTTGGTGAGGATTTAAGTTCCCTCTTGTTTACAATAAAGCTTTCCCTGAGAGTGTATTGTACCTGAAAAACAAGCAAACAAAAAAACCCAGAGCACTAACACTTACCAGTTGTGTGACTTTGGGCAAGTTACTTAACTTCCCCAAGGCCTGAATGTCCTGGAAATTCAGTGATGAAAAGACTACCTGTATCCCGTGTGAGGATTAAATAGAATAATCCATGTTAAATGCTTAGCATAGTATCTGGTAAACAGCAGGCATATACTATATCAGCCACCGTCTTTTATTTTTTATTGGTGATTGTTATTCAAGGGGTCTGTAAACACACTGGAAAGGATGAAATTCCATGCTAAGAAATCATAACTCAGATAGTCCTACAGAAAACAAGAAACTCAATCTGATCTTTATTTACTGAGAAACACAAAATCCACATGAAGGAAATCAAGTTCCCCAAATATATTTGAACCTAGAACAAGAAATAAAAGGTCTCCAGTAGACATTCAGTATTAGTGTCTTATGTTAAAAGCATATTTTTCCAAAAAGTCTTCAAATACAATGGTAACAAACTTTATATTTATACCCATATGGATAAAACTATCCATCTTAAGTAACAGTCTCTGAAATTAACCCTACTTGCTCTCAGCTTGAAGATTATATTTTTTTAAAGCAAGCATACATTTTATTTTAGTGTTGGAATACCAGAAGAATGTTCCTCTATTTACAAGATTTAAAAAAAAAGATTTCAATAGCTCAAAGGTAAAACATCCAATTTAGCAAGAAAATAGTCTTCAATGAAGACACATGTGCTTTTCAACGAAAAAAATCCTGATTTGAATTCCATTTAATTGGCTTTAAATAGTATCACTGTGATGTGAAAAAGTAATATGATTGACTTGAATAAGTATCATGCCAGTTTTATCACAGCTGATGCTTAAGCTATAATTTCTATGTAGATACCTACCACAAGCAACTGTAAAAATCCACAGAGTAGACACTATAGCAAGCCCCTCTTGTAATTTTTAGAAGAGAAAAGGCTTATCTCAATGCTGAGAACCCCACTTTTTCAGAGTATGTTAGAGAAAGATGTACAAGAATCTCCCAATTTTCTCAAGATTTACCACTCCAATGTATGGGCTGATTTAGTGACACCTGGCATATCTGTGCTTAATTAACATATATCCAAAAGCCCAATCTATTTTCCAACAACTGTTAAATTAAAATATAACCAAAATAAGATAAAAGGCAAATAAATCAGGGAAAACGTAAGATAAAGGATGTGAACAGACAATTCACAAAGCAGCGATTCAAAGGACCTACAAGGATATGCTGAAATGATAGTGAAATTCACTAGTGGTGAGGTCAGTGTTTGACAAGGGACATCACTGTAAAAGAATCATACTAGCAAAAATACAAAAAAAGTAACAATATCTATTTTAGGTTAGATGATAAAAGGAACACTTGCATACATTGTGGGTGGCAGTAAAAAAAGTGTTTCGGCCAAATTAATGAATGAGATAAAAGAAAACTATGGGATCTTAAAAAATATGATCTCTTTCTCATGTTATCCACATATCAATGACCATTTCAGGCGGAAGCAGGAAGCACCTTTCAATGTGGACAGCCTATCCCCAGTTGCCAAACAGGATAGAGAAACCATGGCCAGGTGGTAGTAGAAAAATCACTTTATGTGTTTCAGTGGTACAAAAGAAAATTAAGGGCTTTGGCATCAAACCCATTAGCTGCTTAATGTGGAAAGTTTTTTTAACTTACTGGAATCTCAGTTTCCTCATCTGTAAACTACTATAGGCCTAACTTGTTCGGTTACTGTGCTTATTACCTAACATGACATGTGCCATGTGAGTGCTCAATAGATGGCTGTATCACCGCTGAGGCCAGAGGGTGCTGACCTCTTTTTATTATATCTAGTGAGCAATTAGCTTTCATATCTCTTAAATGAAGAACTAAGATTATTTGGGGTCATTTACATTTCTGATCCCGATAAGTAAACCTATTCTTTCATTGATACACATGGATAACTAACAGTGATTCATGTTAAGTTAAATGTCTTATCTTCTCCCTAGGACCTGCAAAATGTCCTGTCTTTACACTGACCATTTTCTTCCAGAACAGAGACTATCCAACCCCTACAAATTCAGTGAATTTAACCACCCTTGACGTTCAATAACAAACCTAAAAATAATTGATCTATAATTTCAGTTTAAATGATCTGACATAGCCAGGCTACTTTTAAATGACAGCAAATGGGATTTTTTAATGGAAATATTGATAGGCCCTTAAGTGTATTGGGGAATCGAGAACAATGACAATGATATTGCACTAATAAACCTAATGCCATGGAGATTGTCTTTTTAAAAAATGCGTCTTTTCTTTATCACAGCATAATACCTAGCTTGACAACAGAAATGTCAACAGTTAGGGCTCTATTCTTCAAACCGTCATGCTCTATTAATGCTGTTTTTCAGTGGGATTTACTTTGTCAAGGAAGGAAGGACCAAAGAGGAAAGTCTATGGTCTTCCTATTCACTAAATCCCTCTTCTCACTGATGCACAAATGACTAACTACTCCCAATGCCACAAAAAGAATGAGAGTTGAAAATGGGCCAAAATCGTCTAGGGAGCAGGGAAAAGAAAGCCAGCCCTGTACAAGCAAAAGTGTGTCTAGATAAGAAGGAAAAGAAAACAGAGTAGGTGATAGGAATGCCAAGGGCTACTCCCCGTTTTGTGTTTGTGATCTTTCAGTTGGGGGAAACAGTAGAGAAAAAACTTTACCATGCAAATATAATTGAGTACTATTAGCTGGGGCTGAGAATAGTGTCTTAACTGGGTTTCAAAGAAGCCCTTGCAGTTTAACACCTTTAATCCAAACAGGAGGAGGATAATAAACTATGGCAGGGACACATAGGGATGTAAAATGAGGCTGAGGAGAGGTTAAAAGGATTATAGATATAAAGTGTTAGCTGTAACTGGGGAGATATCAGGAGTAATAAGACAGCAGGAAGCAGACAGAATGCTTTGTTTAGCTTGGATTTAGTTGTGAAATTTGGGTGCAGAGCAGATTTTGGTTTAACCTTTGCATTTAGAGAAGCAACAATCTAGTACACCCTAATATAGAATAGACAGATAAACAATTTCAAATCAAGGGTTCAGAGCAGAGAAACCACTTGAACTTTAAATATCTGAGTCTAAGAAACTGTTATGCCACCTATGTATAAACAGGTTGTTTTAGACTACATTTGCGCACATGATCTCTTTCAGTCTTCACAAAAATCCCATGAGATAAGAAGAGCAGGATCTATTCTCTCCATTTTATACATGATGGCACTGAGGGTCACAGAGGATAGGGACTTTCCTAGAGTGACACAACCAGAAAGGATTTCCTGTGACCATCTATTGTCACGTTCTATGTCTAAGAATTTTCCTCCAGGAGATACTGCCTTGCAAAAACTTTTCAAAAATTATTTTACAGTGAAAAAGTCCTGGTGCCAAGACAGAAAACTCTCCTACTAATTTTTAATTTGGCACATAACAATCTTCTACCCTAATTCCAGAATTCATCTAACTTCTTTCCCAAATAAGTGTTGTAAGAAATAAACATAAAAGCTAGGATTTTATTCGTAGCAAATTGCTATGGAAACATGAAATTATCCCTATGTTAATAGCATTATGTCTTCTTTTTCTGTGTAAATGGTTGAACAAATTATGCTTTTTATCTACCTTTCTTTTATGACTAAGGGTAAGGAAACATCCATAAAGTATTGAAATTATTGCTAGAGGAGCCAAATTCCAATATCTGTGCTTTTGAATATGCATTTATAAATAACTTCATTAGAATTAAACAATTACAGGACAAATAATCTTTCTAGATATTATTCAACATTCTAATGCAAAGGTTATATCAATAAAATAAAAGGCTTTCACTTCCAGCTAAGATCAAACATGTGATAAGGCAACCAGAACTTGAAGAGACATCATCCTGGAGAGAAGAAAAGCTCACTGATATAAATTCGTCATCTGCCTGCTTCTTCTTTTCTTCTTAGGGAGTTTGCCAACTCTAGGCCCAGAAAGAGGACAAGAAGTCAGGTAGAAGATCCACTGCTTGGTACCAGAGAAACCAGCAGAACTTTTGGCAATTTCATGGGACTAGGGAGAAAACAACTGGGATCATAAAGGGCTATATCTCAGAAAAAAGGGACTACCAAAAAAATTAGCTCAGCACTTTGCACTGGGTTTGCACCCAGAGTCTCTAAAAGTTTTTACATGAAATGTTCAGCATTTCATCAAAAATTAATGAGCATGCTGAGAAATAAAATGAAGAAGGAAGAAAAACAGACAATAAAAATAGACCCATAGGTAACTCAAATGTTAACAAACAAGAATTTTTAAGTAACTGTGATTAATTTGTCAGGAAAGTAGATAACAAAATAGAAATTATGACCAAGAACTAGAACCTACAAAAATAATATAATTGAGGCTGGGCGCGGTGGCTCACTCCTGTAATCCCAGCACTTTGGGAGGCTGAGACAGGCAGGTCACAAAGTCAGGAGATCGAGACCATCTTGGTCAACATAGTGAAACCCTGTCTCTACTAAAAATACAAAAATTAGCTAGGCATGGTGGCGTGTGCCTGTAGTCCCAGCTACTCAGGAGGCTGAGGCAGGAGAATCACTTGAACCCAGGAGGTGGAGGCTGCAGTGAGCCGAGATTGCACCACTGCACTCCAGCCTGGGCGACAGAGCAAGATTCTGTCTCAAAAAGAATAGATAGATAGATAGGTAGATAGATAGATAGATAGATAGATAGATAATTGAAATTCTGGAACTATAAAATATAATAATTGAAAATAAGAATTCAATAGATAGATTTAAAAGTAGATTAGACTCAGCTAAAGAGTAAGTTAATGAATTGGAAGATAGGGCAGTAGAATGGAGAATAGAAAGCATAGGAAATGCAGGAAACACTGAAAGAGACACAGACATCTGGGAGACTGAGGGGACAAAACAAGTAAACATTTCATTGTAACTTAATAAGGAAAAAAAAAGAAGGGAATAAAGCTAGAAATCAATAGCAAAAAAATACTATAAAATTCTCAAGTATTTATAAATTAAAGCAGCGTACTTTTATGTAACTCATGGTCAAAGAAGAAATAGCAATGGAAATTAGAAAATTATTTGAACTGAATTAATTTGGGACGGAGCTAAAGCTATGCTTAGAGGAAAATGTATAGCCATAAAATGTATATTTTTAAAAGAAGAGTGGCTAAAATCAATGAGCTAAGTATACAACTCTAAAAAAGAACAGTAAATTAAACCCAAAGCTGAAAGCAGATATTAATGAGGTCGAAAATAAACATAAAATACAGAAAAACCTTAAAATTTTGATTATTTAAGAAGATAACAAAAAGATAAGTCCTCTAATAAGACTGATCAAGAACAAAGAGAATGCCATATTTAGCAATGTCAGATATTCAAAAAGGGATGCTACTACTAGATTCTAGGATATTGTATTAGGCCATTCTTGCATTGCTATAAATAAATAACTGAGACTGGGTAATTTATAAGGAAAGAGGTTTAATTGGCTCATGGTTCTAAAGGCTGTACAGGAAGCATAACATCAGCATCTGCTTCTGAGGAGGGCTCTGGAAGCTTACAATCATGGCAGAAGGTAAAGCGGGAGCTTGCATGTCACCTGATGAATGTAGGAGTGAGAGAGAGGGAGTGAGGTGCCACAGTTTTAAACACTCAGATCTCACAAGAAGTCACTCACTACAGCAAGAACAGCACCACAGGGATGGTGTTAAACCATTCATGAGAAATCAACCCCCATGATCCAATCACCTCCCACCAGGCCCTACCTCCAATACTGGGGATTACAATTCACTATGAGATTTGGGCAGGGACACATATCCATACTATATTGGATATTTAAAAAGATATAAATAATATTCTGAACTACTGTCTGTTAATAAATCGGACAATTTGGATAAAATGGACAAACTTCCAGAAAAAAATACACTTACCAAGAATGACACAGAAAGAAATAAAAATATGTAAAATTTCTGTATCTAAAAAACAAAATTAAATCACCAATTAAAGACATACCTACAAACAAAACCCTGGGCTTTGCTAGTGAATTCTATCAAACATTTAAAAATAAAATCCTACCAAACTTGCACAAACACTTCCAGAAGAGATAACACTTATCAACTCATGTTATCAGCACAGAATAACCTTGACAGAAAAATATGGCAAGGACATTACAAGAAAAGAAAACTACAGACCACTTTCAATAATAAATGTAAACGTAAAAAAATATACAAAATTTGTATATTGAATCAAATTGAATCCAGTGAGATTTAAAACAACTATGTCATGACCAAGTGGGGTTTATTCCAGAGATGTTCGATTAGTTTACATTAAAAAAAATCAATGTAGTTAACCTATATTAGTGAAGAATAAAAGAGAAAAAAATTATTCTTTGTTTAGTCTTTTTTCTATTGCTATAACAGTATATTTGATACCAGGTAATTTATAAAGAAAAGAGGTTTATTTAGCTCACAGTTCTGGAGGCAGGAAGTCCAAGATCAGGCAGCTGCTTTTGGTCAGCTTCTGGGTGAGGGCCTCATGCTGTATCATAGCATGGCGCAAGTGGAAGGGAAACTGGACATCTGCAAGGAGACCAAACACGAGAGGCAGCCTCACATAACAACTCACTTTCATAGTAACTAATCAAGTCTTGAAAGAGCAAGAACTCACTCACTACCACAAAACTGCATTAATCCCTTCATGCAGGTGGATCGCAGATGCCTCTTACAGGTCTCACCACCTCTCAACACTGTTACATTAGGGACAAAGCCTCGACATAATTTTTATGGGGAAAAACTAAGTTCAAACCATAGCATCTTCTCAACAGAAACATTTGATAAAACGTATCATGCATTCACAATAAAAAGTCACATTAACTTTAAAATCAGATAGAAAGAAATAAAAGGTAACATTTCTTACTATTGAAAAATCTATTTTATTTTAATTACTATTAAAATTGTCACCAGAACCAGATGACCAGATGAGTTCTAGCTAACTTTATATATGTCAAAAAATAACTATACATGTAATTATATATTTTATATATTAAATATGCACTTAATAGCTTTATATTTTAGAGCAATTTTAGGTTCACAGAAAAATTGAGCAGAAAGTACTGAGAGTTCTCATGTTCCCCCTACCTCCAGAAATGCACAACCTGCCCCACTATCAACATCCCACAGTGGTACCATTTGTTACAACCAATAAAGTTACATGAACACATAATTATCACTGAAAGTTCATAGTTTACATTAGAGTTTACTCTTGTTGTACATTTTATCAGTTTGAACATATATATAGTGACATATACCCACCATTACAGTATTATACAAAATAGTTTCACTCCCCTAAAAGTATAAACAAATCTAAAGCTATGCTTAGAGGAAGACTTACAGACTTAAAATGGATATTTTTAAAAGAGGAGAGGCTAAAATCAATGAGTCCAATATACAACTCTAAAAAACAGTAAATTAAACTCAAAGATAAAAGCGGATATTAATCAAGTAGGAAAAGTCAACATTTGATGATCATTTATTTATTTAGAGACAGAGTCTTGCTAGGCCACCCAAGCCGGAGTGCAGTGGCAAGATCTTGGCTCACTGCAACCTCTGCCTCCCAGGTTCAAGTGATTCTCCTGCCTCAGCCTCCCGAGTAGCTGGGATTACAGGCACGCGCCACCACACCCAGCTAATTTTTGTATTTTTAGTAGAGACGGGGTTTTACTATGTTGACCAGGTTGGTCTCAAACTCCTGACCTCTGGTGATCCGCCCGCCTCGGCCTCCCGAAGTGCTAGGATTACAGGCGTGAGCCACCACTCTTGGCCCCAACATTTGATTATTTGTGATCCTTTGATGATTATTCTTAACCACTGATCTTTCCACTGTCTCATGGTTTTGCCTATTCCATGTAGTTGGAACCCTGCAGCATGTAGCCTTTTCAGATTGGCTTATTTCACTTAGAAATATGCATTTAAGTTTCTTCCATGTCTTTTCATGGGTTCATAGCTGATTTCCTTTCAGCGCTAAATAATATTTCATTGTCTGGATGTACCACAATTTATCCATTCACCTACTGATGGACATCTTGATACTTTCAAGTCTTGGCAATTATGAGTAAAGCTGCTATAAACATCCATGTGCAGGTTTTTGTGTGGACATAAGTTTTCAGTTCATTTGGGTAAATACAAAGGAGTGTGATCACTGTATCATATGGTAAGAGTATTTTTAGCTTCCCAAGAAACTCTCAAATTATCTTCCAAAGTGACTGTACCATTTTGCATTACTAGTAGAAATGACTGAGAGTTCCTGTTGCTCAATGTTCTCACTAGCATTGGGTGTTGTCACTGTTTTGGATTTTTATATTTAGTAAGTGTGTAGTGGTATCTCACTGTTTTAATTGTCATTTTTTAATAACATATTATATCGAGCACTAAATGGAACTTTTAAGTTTTATAAAGAGTATCTAAAAAAACCCTACAGCAGAGGTAATAATAATGAACTATTGAAATCTTTCCTCCTAATAGTGAAACTGAAATGAAGATGTCTGCTCTTGTCAGTTCTCTTGACATTTTACTGAAAATCCCAGCAGGAAATAAGAAAAGCAAGATATAAGAAAGGGAAAGGAAGAAATATAACTGTAACTATTTACAAACAACAAGAAATTCCAGAAGAACCTACATATACACAGAATTAACAACTGAATTTAGTAGAATCCCTGATTCAGTATCAACATAGAAAAATTATATTTCCTTACAGCAGTGATAAAATAAGTAGAAAGAATTAGTGAGAGAAATGTACAAGCAATCTAAATAATATTGACCCAAAGAACTATAAATAGATCAATGGACATAATTTAAAAGTCCAAAAACAGATTCACATGTATGTGGTTATTTAACAAATATTATACTAAAGGCAATGGAGAAATCCTAGTTTTTCAAGTACTGTTAGGTCAATTGGATGTCCTTACGGAAAAAAAAAAATTGGTCCCAGACTCACACTATATGTAAAATAATCAGTTCCAGGTCAACAGTAGATTTAAATATAAAAGTAAAAACAATAAATCCTTAGAAGACAACATAGGATATCTTGTGGAAGAAAACTATTTTTAAAAACAGTAAACAAAATGCTAATCATAAAATATAAAGTTGATATACTGGACATTAAAATTAAGAATTTATCTTTATCAAAAGACACCATTTTGAAGAGGCAAGTCACAGAATATGAGAAGTATTTGCAATATACACCTGATAGCTAATTTGTATCAATAACACATAAATAACTCCAACAAATTGATTTTAAAAAATAAAGCCATGGGGGGGAAAAAGGCAAAAGACTTACAAAGGCATTTCAAGGCCCAGTGCAGTGGCTCACGCCTGTAGTCCCAGCACTTTGGGAGGCCAAGGCGGGTGGATCACGAGGTCAGGAGTTTGAGACAAGCCTGACCAACATGGTTAAACCCCATCTCTACTCAAAATACAAAAATTAGCCGGTTGTGGTGGCACAAACCTGTAATCCCAGCTACTCGGGAGGCTGAGGAAGGAGAATCACTTGAACCCAGGAGGCAGAGGTTGCAGTGAGCCAAGATCACACCACTGCGCTCCAGCCTGGGAAACAGAGTGGGACTCCATCTCAAAAAAAAAGGGCATTTCAAAAAGAGTACCAAAATGGCCAGTAAGCCTATTAAGAGTATTCAACATCATTACTAATTAGGAAAAGGAGATTCAAACCCCAATAACAAAAGGGTAAAATTTGGAAGCTGATTGTACTAAATGTTGATAGGAACATGAAACAACAGGAATGCTTATAAACACGTGTATCTGTTTGGAAAATTTTTTGCCGATCTCTGCTAAAGCCGAATACGCCCTATGACTTAACAATTCCACTCCCAGGTATATATCTGACAGAAACACATACACGTCCACATCCAAATGTCCAGAGTAGCACTAAATAGCCAAAAGGCAAACAACTCAAATTTTCATTAACAGTAGAATGGATAAACAAATTGTGTATGGATACATGGTGTAATATTTTAGAGTACTGAGGATGAACCAACGGCTGCTCCTCCAAACAACATGGCCGTAGCAACATTGTGTCTCTCAGAAATAGTGTTATGAGACAAAAAAAAAGACTAAAAATGCACATTCTGTATAACTTCATTTATATGCAGTTAAAAACAGGCAAAAGCAACTAATTATGATATCAGAAAGCTTCTGTTCACTTTCAGGGGTGTGCAATGAAGATGGGGGATGAGGAGGATTTGGGGCAGCGCTGATAACTAATTCTGGAACTGGGTAGTGGTCACATGGGCCTGTTCACTTGGCGAAAATTCATCACATGATTATTTTTCTGTATGTGTGTTACACTTCAGTAAATATTTAACTTAAAGAAGTCACAATGGGCTTGAAGGAACATTCCGGTCTAAGTAAGAAGCTAACATAAATTACAAAGAGTGGGAATAAATAAGTTCTTCTTTAGATGGATAGGTTTAAATGCTGAAAATTCCTAAGGATCAAAGCCAAAGCATGTTTATAAATGATCTAGATGAGGGAGTATCTAATAAAATCCTCATACTTGCAGACAATACTGATATCTTTTAGGTTATAGAAAACCCAGTCAATGGGGATAAAATGCAGGAAGATTTAAAAGGCTTTCAAAGTGAGCAGAATACTAGTAAATGTGTTTCTCTGTGGTCAGCTAAATAGTAATGCAGGGAATAAAAAGAATATAAAGATGTCTTATTCATCCTTATATATGCATCAGGACTTATAGTATATTTATATACAGTCAGTACTAAAAATCATCGTTGATAAATGAAGGATTAAATGAATGAATAAATAATGGACTTGGACTAAGCTATCAGTTACAATTTAGGAAACCATCAGGGCTAGGAGTTATTGTAGACTATTTCCTGAAGAAACAGACCAAATGTGCTAGTGAATTTGGGGTAATATTCCCAACAGCAATAAGAACGCTAAATGCAAAAGAGAAAACATTCAACAAGAGTTCTTAAAATATGTGAGCAGGACCTCCAAGAGGAGAGTGGGAGGAAAGACCGGGCCTGTAAAGATGAAGGTGAGACAGGAACATAACTGAGGGCTGTAGAACTATCACACTATAAACTATTTGAACGTGGATATTAATGCTTATGGTAGTTTTATGTATTAACTTGTCTAGGCTCTAGTACCCAGTAATGTAATCAAACACTAATCTAGGTGATGCTATAAAAAGTATGTTGTAGGTGTGGTTAATATTCACAATCAGTTGACTTTAAGAAAAGGAGATTGCTCTTGGTAATGTGAATGGGCCTCATCCAATCTGCTGGAAGACCTGAAAAGCAAAACTGAGGTTTCCTGGAGAACTTCTGCCTAAAAACTGCAATGTCCACTCCTGTCAAGTTGCTAACCTACCAGCTTGTCCTACAAACTTCAAACTTGCAAGCCTCTACAATTACATAAGCTAATTTCCTTAAAATGTGTGTGGATGGTCGGGGAGAGGGGGTCTGTTTCTCTGGAGAACCCTGACTGATATAGCACCCAAAGTATATCAGTTGCTTCCTGATAAGCAAAGAAGGATCGCTCAACAAAACAGTAGACTGTAAGACAGTCCATTGTCTTAAGAATATTTTTCTCAAACTAGTTCATTTCCCCTTTAGCTGACCTACAGTTCTGTCACAGAGAAATCCTCCTGACCATTCTTCTCCCTGGTCCTCTGGCCTTCCACCCTGTTTTAGGGATCTGCTTTCTAACACAGAGTTCTCTCCCATATTTTTCTCCCCCTGAGTCCCAGAACCCACAAACTCCTGTCACCACACCCACCAAAAGAAATCCCAAATTTCTTCATTGAAAAAAATCTCTTGCAAGAACCATGAGACCACCCTTCAAATTTTTTAACAGAAGCCAACATCCCATTCTGAAGGCCTTTCCATTTTTTTCAACAATGTCAACAACAGTCAATATCAAGTTTATGAATGAGAGCTTTCTGGCTAAAATGAGAGAGTTCTTCAAAACTACCTCTTGCAGAACCAAGAGAACATCTTCCCCAAAGTTGAATTTCTGCCCGGCTCTTAGAGCCATGGGAAGCCAGTTTCTGGAGTTTGGGAATAGCTGTTTCACCACCTCTGCTAGCCATCAGAGGTTTAGGAATAGTCAGATGATGCCTGACCATTAATCAGTCCTTAAAAAAAGAAACAACTGGCCAGAAATCATAAAGATGAGCTGCAATCATGCAGTTGTTCCCCACCCCCTCAAACCCTATACATGCAAAATTATGCTTTAACTGAACCCATGACAGCTTTTAACACAAAAATAAGGAGAGTAGTTTAGGACCTTTCAAAGGACTGAATCAGGGAGGTCCTGATACTAGAAATGTGGGTGTATTACTACTGCTGAAGGAAGGAAAGGACAAAAAACAAACCCTCTCACAATTATGGGGGAATTTTTTCCCATCTCTCCTCAGGTCCTCCCACAATTATTCAAGGTTTGAGCCACCAGGATACATTAATTTTTTGGCAACTGATAAATAGTTTGAGTAATGGCTGCATGTTGTTAATGGCTAAAGTGAAATTTATGAGTCAATCTTTCAAAAATACAATATGACAAACAAATTCATCCCATGCTGCTTTCCTAGTGTTGCCCCATGTCATGTTTTGCTGTGGCCACAACCCAAAATTAAATAGCTTCCCTCCAGCAGTAGTCTTCATATTTCACTCTCCATCTCCAGGTCCAGGCAGATGCATCAATGGGTAATTCAGTACCAGAAATATCACCTACTGTCCCCACTCTAGGCAGAAGAGGCAAGTGAGAAATTTATTTGTATTATGAAGCAGGCAACAAAACATGCATGAGAGATATAACGTGGATGTATATGAGAAAGAGATTGAATACTCCCTTGGAAAAATATTTGCAAACAAAAAATGAATAGACAGTGGTTCAATTACATGGAAATCTCTCTAAATAAGGGACTCTATTCATCAGTCAATCAAGAAACATTCCTACACAACCCATTATGTTTTCAGTGGATTGCGTCATATGTTGTGAGGATAGAAAACCAATTTGAAAGAGTTTAGATATGAAATAACTGTTCAATTATGTAGCTAACTATAAGTCTAATGAGATTTCCGAGGGAATAAAATGGATGTGGTTTCTTTCAGCTATGTCCCTTTAATTACCTGGCCCTGGCCCTGGCCCACCATTAGTGCTGGCCATATGTAAAATGTTCCAGAAACCTGTTAACTTGCACATATTTTTCTCCAGAAGTATACTGCTTCACCCTCTTATTAGGTGCTGGTCTCAGCCTACCTATTACTGTTGATCATTCTCCAAGCCCTCTGCTGCGCAGATCTTCCAGCTTGTTTACACTAACCTGCTTCTAATCTTTATCTCAATTTTTGGATCCTGATTCTACTCTCTCCTCTTCTGGGCATTCCCTTGGACAGATAAGTCAGTAGAGAGCCCAAGTGGCCCCCATTTCTTCTAACTCCTGCATTTTTTCTTGTGCATTCTGATTATAACTCAATCCCACAGTTGGGAACTAGATTTTACCCCATCAGCCCATCATCCTTGAGGCACATGAAAATAATGGAATGTAAAAGCATGTGAGTGTGCTGAATGTTCTAGTTCTCAGGAATGCGATGAGAACTTTTCATTCATTGATGAGAGATGACCTCTTCGTAGTGAAAACAGATCCCTCTCGAGACACCTGGGGAACACCTTGGTGAGGTTGACTGCTGTAAGTACACATGACTTAACCTTGCCAACAAGGTACAGTGCCACATCTGGCCATACCTCCAATAAGTACACCTAAACAATTTTTAGAAAACTAGGATGGGCTGCCTCAATTTCTAATTTATTTGGCCAGTTTCACAAGCTGCTCAGTTCCTAGTTAAGTCAAGATAAGAAGTATTTCTGATCTTCTGAACATGCCCTAAATGTAATGAAGTGCTTGATGCATGCCTGGCACTCCAAAGAATCAACCTTCCACAGTGGCTCCAAGGGGCTGGGCCTTAATGAAGCTGTGCCTCCAGGGAGCATAACATATACCCTTGTAGGAGGGCAATGAATGCAAGATTAAATAATGCTTGAACCCTTTGCAAGACTAAATAATGCTTGAACTCATTGGTTATATTCAGACTTTTAGCTCCTCCAATGTCTAAACAGTGCCATGGTACCTAATGAAGAACAGCTTTCACAACATCTTGCAGAGGGGTGGTGAGGAGTAAGACATAGTTCCTGGATCTTAGTTTTATATCCATATATTCATTCATACTCTGCCTTTTGTACATATGGGCCTGAATCAATAGTAGTATCTTATCCTGGTGTAAAATCAAATTATTACATTTTTGAGTGATCCAAAGGTGTGTTCTTGGGCTATAGTCTTTTTCCCTTAGGAGATATGGATGATGCCAACAGACTGAGGCTAGATTACCTTCCCAAATACAACCCACTTGTTAGCCCTCAGGTAACAAAGAGTTGTGGTTCTGCTCTATCCACTTCCAGTGAGAGGCGATAGGGCCAGAGAATTCTCTAGTGCAGGTCCCTGCAACTCAAAGAGTAGCCAGAACTCTAAAGAAATCTAAATATTTTGAATTATGGAACAAATAGGCTAGTGATTGATGGGAGCAGAAGTTGAGGAAAAATCAGACACATTAAATGGCCCCACATTGCCAGCTGAAGTTTAATGGAACATATAGAAAAGAGAAAATATATGCAGATTACCGAAAATAATAAGGATTTTAAAGTTTGCCAGAAAGACACATACCAAAGTCAAGTTTAGTCACATTGGTGATGGAGCACTAAAGACCATGTGCCCCAACAAAATAAATTATCAACAGAGTAAAGACTGCCTACAGAATGGGAGAAAATATTTCCAAACTGTGTATCTAACAAAGGTCTAGGCTGGGTGCATTGGCTCACTCTTGTAATCCCAGCACTTTGGAGGCTGAGGCAGGCGGATCACCCAAGGTCAGGAGTTTGAAATCAACCTGGCCAACATGGTGAAACTCCCTCTCTATTAAAAATACAAAAATTAGGCAGGCATGATGGCCTGTGCCTGTAGTCCCAGCTACTCGGGAAGCTGAGGCAGGAGTATCTCTTGAACCCAGGAGGTGGGGGTCACAGTGAGCCGAGATTGTGCCACTGCACTCCAGCCTGGGTGACAAAGTGAGAGTCTGTCAGAAAAAAAAAAAAAAAAAAAAAAGTCTAAAATCCAGAATCTACAAGGAATTTAAACAAATCAACAAGCAAAAAGCAATCTAATTTTAAAAATAGGCAACAGACATGAACAGGCAATTCTCAAAAGAAGACATACAAGCAGCCAACTAACATATGAAAAAATGCTCAACATCACTAATCATTAGAGAAATGCAAATCTAAACCACAATGAGATATTATTTTGCACCAGTCAGAATGGCTATTATTAAAAAGTGAAAAAATAACAGATGCTGGTGAGGTTGGGAGAAAAAGGAATGCTTATATACTGTTGTGGAAATCCAAACTAGTCCAGTCACTGTGGAAAACAGTTTGGAAGTTTCTCAAGGAACTTAAAATAGAACTACCATTAGACCCAGCAATCCCACTACTGGGTATATACCCAAAGGAAAAGAATGTATTCTATCAAAAAGACACATGCATCCATATATTCAATGCAGTGCTATTCACAATAGCGAAGACATGAAATCAACCTAAGTTCCCATCAACAATGGATTAGATAAAGAAAATATGGTACATATACACCATGGACTACTATTCAGCCATAAAAAGGGATGAGATCATGCCCTTTGCATGGAGGGAGGTGGAGGCCATTATTCTAAGTGACCTAACATAAAAATAGAAAACCAAATATTCCATGTTCTCACTTATAAGCAGGAGCTAAACACTGAATACCCATGACTGTAAAGATGGGAACAATAGACACTGGGGATCACTAGACAGGGGAGGGAGGAGGAGGACAGGAGTTGAAGACCCACCTGTTGGATACTATGTTTATGCCCTGGGTGGCAGAATCATTGGGACCCTAATCCTCAGCATCACACAATCTACCCATGTAACAAACCTGCACATGTATCCTTTATAATAAAATTTGAAATGAAAAAAAATACCGTGCAACCTATTGCTGGAAGTCTACAGCTTCCTTGAAGACAGGACCACATCCATAAGGTCCTTTATTCTTGTGTTTCCATGGGATATCTGTTCTTTACATCCCGACAACCTAACATATAGGCTGTTTTAAGTGATGGCTCCCTAAACTATTATGTATCTCCATTAGTTTCATACTTCAGAAGTTTCTTATATCTATTTCTCATATGGGTTGTAAATATGGCCCTTCTGCTGACCACCCACCTGTATTAATCTGCTAGGGGTGCCATAACAAAATACTACATATTGGTGGGGCTTAAACAACATAAATGTATTTTATCATAGTTATGGTGAAAATAACTATGGTTGGAAGTCCAAGATCAAGGGGTCAGCACATTCAGTTTCTATGAGATCTCTCTCCTTAGCTTGCAAACAGCCACCTTCTATTCTCAAACATGGCCTTTTCTCCTCTGTACTCACATATCCTTGGTGATTCTACCTCTTCTTATAGGGATACCAGTCCAATTGAAATAGGCTTACACCGTTATGCCCTCACTTAACCTTATTCACTTCTTTAAAGGTCATGTCTCCACAGTCACATTAGAGGTAGATCTCTTCAACCTATGGATTTAGTGGGACAAAATTCAGTCCACAACACCACCTAACGGAAGATCCTAGATTCAACTGGATCCCAGGAATGGCAGGTGTATTTAAGCCAAAAGTGCTATTCACCTTTAATCCAGCCCAAATGCTCCAATATCTGAAGTCAATTTATAGTAGACTTATGCCTCCAATGTTAGCGTGGCAACTGTTTAAACCAGGAAACTCCCAGACAAGGAGTTTTATCATGCTATATTTTCACAAGTTGCCCCTAGAAGAGTTAAACTATCTAGAATGGGGGGAAAATCTATCATAAGGCACAGAAGTGATTCTAGAAGTCTAAAGTCATCATCTAGAGATTTTCTGGTCAAACTTTGGAACCTAAGCATCTTCAGGCTTCCTAGGTAGTTTGGTGGGCCTGTATGTTCACAACTTGGCTGAGAGCTCGTGTGTATTCTAGGGATCCAGAACCATTGTTTCAACCCCACCTTGTCCACAAGGCCCAGCTCTGAAGGCCACAGTCCCTGTAGGATCCTCTACCTAGAGAATGTCACATGCATGTCAGCCCAGCCAGACCTATGAAGTCTCAATCACATGTACTAGACAGTATTCTGACGGCTACAATTGGCACTGGTTGGCAGAGCTTCAGGACAGCACATGGCATATTGTAAGCCCTTAGAACATTCTTGAATGAATAAAAAAGCAAATAAACCTAATCCATTTGGATGTCTGGTGGCATCCAATCTAATTAAAGATGTATTTGAGCCAACCAGCTGAAGCCCCATCCGCAAACACTTTTATGCAGGGCTGATAATCAATCAGAACAGCTGTATCAGTTGTTTATAGATGGTGTCTATTTTGAGTGGTCAGACATCCATTCTAATTGGAAGGACTCAGGGTCTAAAAGTTGGTAAATACTTCTAATATCACTTCTGACTATTCCTGGAGAAAATGTAGGGGTGTCTATGGTGAGTTCAGGGATTTCAGGACTGATTAAGGAAAAGACAGAACTACAAGATGTCAGTACTGAACAGTAAGTTTTATTGGCCAGTATTGGGACACAGTCGCATGAGAGAAGAAGCTCCTTTTCCTTCCAGGATGAGTAGAAGACCTGACAGAAATAGCAGCATGGGATTAACACCCAGAAGGCAAAAGAGGGCAAGAGAACTTCCAGGGGAGCAAGGAATCAGAGATGGGGCTTATGTGTCTAGCAGTCGCTGGGCTAGAGACCTATGAAAAGCAGCCGTGATTTGAGGTCATTTATAGCTATAACGGTTATCTTATCTATGGATGGCAGGTATTAGGTATAGTTTTGTGGTGTAGGTAAAGAAGACAGACTCTAAATGGCTTAAAACATGCTTATTTGGAATATATTTAAAGCAACTGGGTATGTAAGGATTGAGTTTGGCACCATGGGGTTTAAGCTAATAGTCCTCGCCTGCTGTGAAGAAGTAACAACCTAGGAGCTATATACAGAGCCCACCTTTAGTCCATTTGTATATCAATGTCCTGTGAAACTTAGAAAAGAGAGAGAGAGATCCATTCCTGACTCTACAAAGGAAGACAGGGTTTCTCTACAAGCTAGAAGAGATAAGCCCTTGTGACCACGTGGAGATAGTGAGGGACTTCTGATGGCTACAGTGGAGGAAATTCAGGCTCTTTGGATTCTCCCATGCCTGTATGAAATTTACTGCTCCTACGGTCAGCTTTAACTAGGAAGCCCTGTTTATATCCCAGTTTGGGCGAGCACTTCAGAACAAGAACCACTCCTTTCTTGCACACCACGAATCCCAGATCAATACCAGAGGACAAGTGTAAACTGTGCATTGCAAAAGCATCTCAGATGCAGCTTTCTTCCTTCTCACAAGTACCTCCTCAAATCAAAGTTGTCTTAATCCAACTAATCATGGCTCCACTTAAAATACACCATTTTATTGAAATCATGGATATCACACACACATAACATACACACACACATGCACACACGCACAGGTTTCCTGCTCTCATCCACCACCCTCATTTTAAATCCAGAACACATGGAAAAGCCACAGTCTACACAACAGGACTGGGCAGGTTTTCTTCTGGTGAGTCCTGTGGATTTCAGGTTTACATCTAGCAAGCTTCACATGCTAGGGGAAGTCATTCGGACAATAGCCTGTCACATTTACACCACTAGAGCTCATCAACTTGAACATGAGTTTCTGAGCCAGGGAATTTATCTGCTCCAGCATCTTCCTTCCCTATACACTTTCCGCCCATTCATCCCTGAATCCTAGCACTCCCTGCTGTACCCAGCCTGGAAGAGAACATTTTTGTACACTATAGCTCTAGGTTCTGTCCTAGTGATTAGAGAGGGGAAGCCAGAACATTTGTTGTGGGACATACTGTGCTTTTGATTTAGTGGAAATGTATTGGTATGTTCACAACAGAACCTTCCTTCTTTTGAAAAATTAGCCACAGGAATCCTTTGTTTCATGAGCCAATAAATTCCCATTTGTTTAAATTAGTTTGGGTTGTGTTTCTGTTACTCGCAACTAAGAATCCTGACTAATTTCCTCAGCAACAGAGAGGCCTATTGTTTGTGGAATGGGTGATACCTACACTATGGCAGAACATATGGAAGCCTTCCACCCATTCTAACTATATTCTCAACTAATGGCAACATAGCTTTTCATTGCAAAGAGAACCTAAGAAAACCTTAGTCTGGCCTTATTAGAGGGAGTTAGAAACTTGGTCAACAGTCTCTTGAGATGCTCACTTTTAGTTCCATGAGGGAGGCTAAACTACAAGGAAAAGGAACATCCCAGCAGACACTGAGCAATAAGGAAATTAGCCCCATTATGCCCATATATAACTGTTTTTTGGTTTATTCATTATCAACTCTCACTCAAAAACACTCAAAAATGGTTTGAATCTGTGTCCCCACACAAATCTCATGTTCAATTGCAATCCTCAAGATGGGGCCTGGTGGGAACTGAATTGGATCATGGGGGAAGATTTCTTATCAATGATTAGTACCATCCCCTTGGTACTGTCCTTGCAACAGTGAGTTCTCACAAGAGATCTGGTTGTTTAAAAGTTTGTGGCACCTCCCCACTCTCTCTGTTGCTCCTGCTCTGGCCATGTGACCTGCCCACTCCCCCTTTGCCTTCCATCCTGATTGTAAGTTTCCTGAGGCCTCCCCAGAAACCAAAATGATGTCAGTAACATGCTTCCTGTACAACCTGCAGAAATGTGAAACAATTAAACCTCCTTTCTTTATAAATTAGCCCATAACAGGTATTTGCAGCCAGGCAATAACGGACTGATACACTCATTTTCTTGTGTCTTCTCCTTCCTGACTGATCGGTCATCCCTCAGTTTTCATATGGGTCCATTTCCTGGACCCATATGTAAACAATTTTTCCATCTCCACCCCCATCCTTTGGACCACCCACATGTAATTTATTATTTATTGGATAACATATTTAAGGCATAATTCAGTACCAAGGGCAGCTGCTAGAAATTTGTTGCCTTTAGTAATAAAAGAAGCTTAGTGGAAGAGTTAGGCTTGGAGCTAGCTCTTAAAGAATGGATAATTCATAGACAGGAGTGAAGGAAGAAGAAAGATAATTCCAAGTTACTAAACAATATGAACAAAGGCTCTAAGATCAGAATGAGCTCGTCAAGTAGATCACAGAATGTATCTAATGAAAGCAGTTTGCACAGAGAAAGACTATATTATAGAAAAACGTGGCTAGGCATGGTGGCTCATGCCTATAATCCCAGCAATTTGGGAGGCCAAGGCCAGCAGATCATGAGGTCAGGAGATCGAGACCATCCTGGCTAACACAGTGAAACCCCGTCTCTACTAAAAATACAAAAATTAGCCCGGTATGGTGGCGGGCGTCTGTAGTCCCAGCTACTCAGGAGGCCGAGGCAGGAGAATGGCATGAACCTGGGAGGCGGAGCTTGCAGTGAGCCAAGATTGCGCCACTGCACTCCAGCCTGGGCAACAGAGTGAGACTCCATCTCAAAAAAAAAAAAAAGAAAAAAAGAAAAGCGCAGAGACAAAGGGTTTTAGATTTAATTCAGGAGTCACTGAAAGCTTTTATTCTAGGGATATTCAAATGTCATTTGGTCATGAGACCATTCTAGGGAATACCATGTAAATCAAGATTATACCCAGGTAAATACACACACATAAACATACAAAAGCCTGGGTCACAAATAAAAACAGGCCTTTTCTTGACTTATGTAAGTTGCTTAGGAATATATTATCCCTGAGAGAGTATTACCCCCTAGGAGGAATTTAAACTTGGGAAAGTTTGAGCTATCCTTTGTATCGCATCAGCCAATTTTATAAGCTCTTAAAGTTAGTGCAACTTCAGTGCCAGAAATTCAGATATTTGGAAAATTATATTTAGGGCCCAGCAATTCCTAGACTACTTCTCAGATGCATTCAAATTAAAGATCAATTAAAAACCACAGTCATGCATTCCAAATTTCAGTGACCTAATGGGCCACGGATAAAGCAATATGTCTTTATTTTTACAGGGGTATAAAAGAAATACACATTTTGAAATCTTTTCATTTTCTTCTTTTTTGAACCCTTTCTCCAGAATTGGACATTTGTAAATCCCACAATTGCCAGGACATCTTTTCTTCAAATAAATGGAAGAAATATTGGGATTTAACATTTTTTTGCACGTGTCAGCACTTCCTGGTTTTTGTTATTACACTCAGGGAGATGTCAAGTTTAGGCAATATATAAGAATGTTACTAAAAAAAAATCATTGAGGGCAGAAGAAAAAAACGCACACGTTATATGAATTTGGATACTCAGAGACCCCATATAAGAGGGCAACGGTTAGAATGAAGGGTCAAGATGGGAACAATAAAATGTACTGTATTTTCATGAATATAAAATTCTGAATAAATGTACTGTATTTTCATTGAATATCAAATTCTGAATAAAGAGTCACCCTTAATCTATTTTAGTCAAAATAAACTAGATTATCCTGTGGTAACAAACAATTCCAAAACCTCAAATATTTAATCAAATAAAAATTAATGTGTTGCTAATGGAAAGTCTACTGCAGGCATGTGTGCCTTTTCAGGGCATCTCCTCATGGTCAGCTTCAAAGTTTTAGTCCTATCATCACTGCTAAGGCCCCTCTTCAATTGCCATGGTAATAGAAGAAGCAGCTAGAGGGGTGCAGGAGGGCTTCTCAGGTCTTTAACCCGGAAGTGACATACTTCCTTTCTATCCACATTCCAGTAGCCAGAAATAGTCATAAACTCTGCCCAACTCCAAGGAGGCCGGGAAATACAGGGCACAAACATTATCCAAATAAGCAAAAGGTCTATAGACAGCCAAAGAAGAAGAGGAAATAAAGGAAAAATGGGGAAGGGGAGATGAAAAGTATAGATGGAGGAGGAGGAAAAGAAATGAATGTAATTCAACCGCAGATGTAGAAACAAGAATCTCTAAATTTTGAATTCTAATCTCAACTCTACCCCAGGATTGTACAAGCCTTAGGATTCTTAGCCAAGTAAAGAGAATTTCTTGAGATAGATATGAAAAAGCAGCTTGGAAAAATAACTATTCTAGAGAATAAAGTTTTCTAAAAAGGGGAATTAAAAAAAAAAAAAATATATATATATATATATATATATATGCCAGAAACATAAGAAGTATAAGCAAAAAGCTCACAAAAATAGAGAATACTCTGTATTTTATGTATAAAGTATGAAGACACTTGGGAATACCAGGTACATTTCCACCTATAGGCACCAAAACATTCAACTAAACTTTCAAAAGAACTTATCTGCTTAAGAAACCACAGATTTGACATAGATATTCTGGTGGAGAAGGAGCCAGGAGCCAATATTAGGACTCACATGTGAAAATGTGATAGTAACCAAGCCTTATCAACAATTTTGACAGCTCTATAACTCAAATTCTTATGTGTAAAGTAGAACTAGTACCAGCATCACCTACCTACAATAAAAAAATATTTTAAAAGGCTCACAGTGCTCTATAAAAGAAGCGCTAACCAGAAAACTGCCATATACACAAGATGGCAGTGGCACCTAGAGGTTCCTTCAAAGAGTACTTTTGCATCCAGGAGAATTCCTTCAGTCACATGGTCACAAAGCCATTTACATTTTTGGTATTATTTCCTAAGTGGGAACAATCTGATATTAGTCATTGTCTATTAAAAACACATTTCAGAATTACAGTGGTTCAGGTTAGATTTTTCAACTTTAAGATGAGTTTTTGGGGTTATTAAATGCATTTTCTACTTAAAATGTTTTCAACATACCACGGACTTTCCGGGATGTAATCCCATCGTAAGTCAAGGAGCGTATATTATCTTCGAAGAGCATTTTTATTTTTCTGAAGTCAAATGTTATCTTGCTTAAAGAATATATATATACATTATACATGTTTGTGTACATGCTTGAGGAGATATCATTATGTATTTGTGTGCATACATACAAACATTTATGGTTGGTGTGTGTGCTCATGTGTGTGCTTATGTATATGTTCTTTTCTCTGTGACTCGTGTGTCTCTTTGCTAGAATCTGTAATAGGAGGAATGCAAAATGGACACAAGCCATATGAATTCAGCAGCCTCATGGATGTGGATGCTCAAAAGCAGCAGTCATCTATCAAAGGAAGTGTATTGGACTAAATGGAGAGATTTTTAATAAGAGGCAAGGGGGTGCACTTTACCTAATAAAAAGAGCATAGAAAGACCCTGGCTGTGGCTAATGTGCATAAAAAATTCAGCCTGTCAGATCCTCACTTTTCTAATTCAGTAATCTAAATAATTTATTTGACATTTTAGCTCAAGATGACCTTTCTTAGGAAAAAATTACTGTTTTAAACTTTTAGCAAGTGCAACCTCAGCCACAGAATCCCTATTGAAGTCTGCATTTTCCCAAATGAGCAAAGGTTAATCTCATAGTGCTCAAACACATTGCTGACCCTTTTAAACAGTTCGCAAAATGTCATTTAATTTTTTAATCTAATTTCAATTATGTTGTAACATTTGAGTTGCGTATTTGGGGGTGGGGGTAGTGATGTGAGATTCCAGTCAGGTCCTGCTTAGAGAAATTTAGGCAAATGATTCTTTTTAAATAAAACAGATTAATAGATAATGTCATTCATTTCCCCTATGGTTTGAATATACATATAATCATGAACAAAATATAATAAAATCATGCACACTTCCCCTGAAGGATTAACAAATGGGGATTAAGGTGGTTAGTTCTTGAGAGAAACAATACTGGAATCCAAGGTTCTCAAAGGTGCTGTGTGATTGAGGATATTAGCTTTTAAGCCAAGGATACTCAAAGGAAACCCATGCTCTAAGCTATATAGGGTCCACCTTCTCCTCTCATTCTAGGGCAGGTCTGAATCCACCCAAGAGATAAGGAGGGTGACAGATGTTGTAGATAGATTATTATCTCAGCCATTCCATCAGCCATTAATGAAATTTCAACTTTTTCTCTCAAAAGCTATTCTCTTAGCTTGCTAGCAGATCAGAAAAACAGAAGAAGGTAGAATTGTTACTATGAAGATAATTGGATCTTCCTCTCTGCAGAATAAGCTATCATTTCATCATTGCATCCTAGAAAGCTTATTTAGGAGATTCAGAGATGTTGTAACACTTTGTTAACCAGGATTTCCTCCTACCCCCACCAAAGGATGATAGAATTTGGTACTCTAATTTGACAAACATCCCATTTTCTCACTGTCATTTTTTAAGCAATGTCCCCTTGGGAACATTTGGGTGGCTTAAGGTTCTCTGTTATTTGCAAATCCAAAATATTATCACTGGTGGTTGTACCAATGATCTGAGTAGAATGAGCTGATGTGAATATCAAACCAAGATATGAATGCTCAGCTCCATTACTTTCCTCTCATTATCACCTCTCTTGATATAGCTTTCCCCAGAGAGTCTAGTGTTCCTTATTTGCCTTACCCTGAAATATCATATTTCCCTAAATCAAAAGTACCTATAAGCCACACTCGCAGAAGTTGCCTCAATAAAGGGAGTTTTATACATACAACCTACAGGCAGGTGAATCAGCATCTTGCCTGTTCTTCTCACTTTGCCACTTTACCAAATTTGCCTCCAAAGGATTTAGAATATGAGACACAGATACAAATAAAGATGTCTGATCATCATTTTTACTTTAAAATGCACATTTTTCACTATCATCAATGAGAACTGTGTGAGGTCTAGCATACCATGTTGTTTCATAAATGAAAAATAGTCTATTTCTGCTATTTTCATTATATCCATCCCAAGGGTTCTCGGCTCAAGGTGTACATTAGAATCACCCAGGGGTCACTGCAAAAACACAAACTTAGGAGGCCCTCTTAAATCTTACTGAATCAGAATCTGTGCGTATGGGGCAAGTGTCATATATTTGTACATAGCTGTGTAGAATTGTGTATGCTTACCTACCCCTGGTTAAGAATCACTAATTGGGTAAGTTTTCACATGGGCTATCTAGTGTAACTGGAATAGTGAATGAAAGTGTGCTCTGAAGAAGAGAATTCCCATCATGCCTAGGCTAAAGGATAATCATTCAGAACACCTGAAAGATTTGGAATGTGCAGAAGACAAAAGTCCTTGTAAAAATATCTCCAAACAACACTTTATGACTTATTTTAGATATTTTGATAAAATATATCATATCCCTTGCACTGATCATTGTTTGGAGTATTTGCTATAGCATTTGCCATTGCCAGAAATTGCTGGCATTCGTTTAAGAAAAACACACAGCCAGTCAGTCTTTGGTATAAAAACTACACAGTACTGTATTGCCCTACCACTCATAGAGGAATAACATGAGGAATTTTGCCTGGGAGTTACTGGAATTCCCACATTCCAATTTTCCTGGTTCTGATTAAAGTGCAAATGGAATCAATTGGAATCATATTAGAAAGCATGAAACACCAAAAGCTAGTTCCTAAAAATGTCTCAATCTTTTTCTTTTCTCACTCTAGAAGATTCTACAGGACTCTTTCCACTTCAATATCTCAGGTCCCAAAAGTCCAAGCTGCCCCACATTTTCCTGGAAACAATTTCCCAAAGTTTGATCCATGATACACAATTTCTGCAACAATTCTGAAGGAAAGTATGTCTTTCACATTTTCATATTTTACAGGGTCAAATAAGTTTGAAAGATCCAAATGCATGTTAGCATAGTCAGTCTTGGGGAAGCTATATTACTATAGAAATGAAACATGATTAGTCAGGCTTTCCCAAACTATGAAATAACTATCCTTATTGTATGTGATACATTAACATCCAATGAGAAGCTGTTCCAAAAAACACACTTTGATAACCACAATGACAGCTGTGAATCAGCCAAGACAGCTGTCTCTTCTACCTCTGTGATTTTTTTTTCTTTGAGACAAAGTGTCACTCCGTCACCCAGACCAGAATGCAGTGACACAATCACAGTACACTGTAAACTTGACCTCCTGGACTCAAACAATCCTCCCACCTCAGCCCTCAGCCTCCAAGTTGCTGGAACTACAGGTTGGCACCACCACATCCAGCTTATTTTTTTATTTTTTTGTAAAGATGGGATCTCACTATGCTGCCCAGCGTAGTCTCAACTCCCAGGCTCAAGTAGTCCTCCCACCTTATCTCCCAAAGTGCTGGGATTACAGGCATGAGTCAGTGTATCTGGACCTCTGTGAAATTTTTAGAATTCAGTAGAATTGAAATAAGTAGCAAAGTAAACAGTTGATAGATGTATCTGTTATCTTCCTTTAGAATGACAAATAACTGCCTGAAGACAGAATAAAATTGGGGTAAGAAGAAACTGGGGAAGAGTAAGTGTCTGAACAAGATATGCTACAGATTGAGTGTACAGATTAGGAATCATTTTGCTTTGAAAGCTCAGCAGCATTTTTTTTTTTTTTTTTTTTGAGACAGAGTCTTGCTCTGTCATCCAGGCTGGAGTGCAGTGGTGCCATCTCAGCTCACTGCAAGCTCTGCCTCCCGGGTTCACGCCATTCTCCTGCCTCAGCCTCCCCAGCAGCTAGGACTACAGGTGCCCGCCACCACGCCCAGCTAATTTTTGTATTTTTAGTAGAGACAGGGTTTCACCGTGTTAGCCAGGATGGTCTCAATTTCCTGACCTCGTGATCCAGCCGACTCGGCCTCCCAAAGTGCTGGGATTACAGGCGTGAGCCACCACGTCCAGCTTCAGCAGCATTCTGATGGAATTAACTGTTGCTCCTCTCTTTTTAACTTTGAGTAAACTTGCTTACTACGCCTAAGTGTATGATGGAAAACAATTTAATTAAATTGCAATGCCTGAGTTCCCCTAACCTATAACATAAATGTAGCCATTAATATTAATATTCTAATCTCAATATCTCCAAGCTCCATTCACTCAGGTCCCACTCTCAAATTCAATAAGTTCAATAACTTGCCTCAGTACTTGGAAGAATTTTGATTGGAATTCAGGACTGTGTGGCTTTTAAATACTCCATTCCATCGCTTGAGAAGCATAAATACTTGCTCTCAGTGTTTTCTTAAATTGGTCCCAGCCAACCAAACTTGGAGACCTGCCTGGAATACTGAGAGCTGGCACTGCATCACCAGCCCCTCCAATAAAGCTGCCAGGGTCACCACCAAAGCAGCCACCATAAACTCTATGTGGGCTCCTGCCCAGTGGCCAACGATGCTTTTGCAAAACAAAAGCCCTCCTTCCCCCCTTGCTTCTGTGTAATGGTGACTTTGAGTGTCATCAGAGCCCCAGAGAAGGTTTCAGATCTCTGTGAGACAGATTTTCTCTCAGACAAGCTTTGTCATTCCCACCAGAAGTCCAACTATGACTGCCACCCGTCAAGCTAAATTACTGTACACTCTATGCCTATCAAAGGACAGAGGAGAAATAGCACCACTGTACCTTTTGTGCTAGTTAAAAAGGAGGGAGAATGAAGACAACTTCCCTAGACCTATATATGGATAGCTCCACAAGGGGGCTAAGTGGCTTAGTCCAAAATATTCTGGTATTTTGAGAAAGGGATATTTCAATGAGCAGGCACGCCTCTTTCATCCTTGGGTTACAGAAATTCCATGAGAGCTGCAACATCATTCCCAAGATTGCATTTAGCCCTGAGGACCTGCCACTGAGTTAGCCTTCCTTTGCCAGATTCCATCTTCCATTATGGGCAGGTAGCGTTTTCTTTTCTCTCACCTTTCCCCTAAAATATGACTTCCATTCAGCCCCTCTCCTCATCCCTACCTTCTACCATCAGAAAGTATGTCCCCTGTAATAAGACTTCCAAATACTCCCTTCCCCATTTTATCACCAGACTCTACAATTCCGGTCCCCCCCAGGTCCCTTCCAGGAAGCTCCACACATCTTCAGATAAATCATGGGCTACAAAGAAAGACAGTTTGAGGAAAAGATGTTGTGCTATTCACATGTCCAACGAGGCTGAGTTGTTACTAAGCCAGCCTGACCACAAGTGCCCTTGATTCCAACTCTTCCTAACCCCGGGATTTTGCTTCATTGTCTCCAGCCTTGCCCCCTTTTCCAGCTCCTTCCCCTTGGCCTACAGAGGGCCTAATGGACCTCAATTCCTTATCTCTGGCCTTCCTTTCATTTTCTAATTTTGTTCTCTATTTTTCCTCTTAAGCATTCATTCACTTATGCAGCTCCTACAAACAGACTTCTAAAATTGTTCGTATTCCAATCCCCATTCTTAATAGTTGGTATACCTAATGGCTACTTTTCAGTCCTTAATTTTTCTGACCTCTGAGCAACACCACTGACAACACTCTTATTAACACCCTTCCTTTTGTTCCTTCTACGTCATAAGTCTTTCTCTTTGGGTTATTTTCTTGCTTCTCTGTAAACGCCCTCTATCTCTGGTTTGTTTTCAGGCTTCTGGTATACTGTCCAACCCTGAAGCATTCTTATCATCCCTGTCTTATCATTCTATACACTCTTCTTCAAAAGATCTCTATTTCAAAGTTTCCCTTACCATCAATGTACTCACATCTTCATCTTCTCCACTCAGTTGCATCCCTGGAGCTCCAGACCCTTATTTCCCACAGTCAGTTAGACAGATGCACCTGGGTGTCTAACAGACACTCAAAATATAATTACCTTATCAATTTACTCTGCTACAACATATTTCTCATTTCGGTTTAAATCTACCTAGCCACCCAAGAAAGAAATGTAGGAAGCCCTCTTTGTCTTCTCCCATGTCACCTGGTCCTGTCATTCTCATCATCTCTCTCTCAAATTTGTCTTCTCCCCACTATTCTTACTGCTGCAGTTCAGTCAGAATTTCCTACCTGGCCCCTACTTCATGCTTTCACAGCATTCAACTGCAAGTATGGTCCAATATATTTATACCGAGCTGAATTCAGTTCCTCAGTGCATCATTTTCTTGAATAGTTTTATGATTTCATGCATTCTATTGAGAGTTGAAGCCAGCTGGGCTTCTGGGTAGGGTGGGGACTTGGAGAACTTTTCTGTCTAGCCAAAGGATCATAAACACACCAATCAGCACTCTGTGTCTAGCTAAAGGTTTGTAAACGCACCAATCAGCACTCTGTAAAAATGCACCAATCAACGCTCTGTGTCTAGCTAAAGGTTTGTAAACGCACCAATCAGCACTCTGTAAAAACACACCAATCAGCGCTCTGTGTCTAGCTAAAGGTTTGTAAATGCACCAATCAGCACTCTGTAAAAACACACCAATCAGCGCTCTGTGTCTAGCTAAAGGTTTGTGAACACACCAATCCGCACTCTGTAAAAAGGCACCAATCAGCACTCTGTGTCTTTCTAAAGGTTTATAAATGCACCAATCAGCACTCTGTAAAATGGACCAATCAGTGCTGTGTAAAATGGACCAATCAGCAGGACGTGGGTGGGGCAAAATAAGGGAATAAAAGCTGGCCAAAATAAGGGAATGAAAGCTGGCCACAGGAGCCAGCAGCGACAACCTGCTTGGGTCCCCTTCCGTGCTGTGGAAGCTTTGTTCTTTCACTCTTCACAGTAAATCTTGCTGCTGCTCACTCTTTGGGTCCACACTGCCTTTAAGAGCTGTAACACTCACTGCAAAGGTCTGAGGCTTTACTCCTGAAGTCAGCAAGACCACGAACTCACCAGAAGGAAGAAACTCTGGACACATCTGAACACCTGAAGGAAAAAACTCTGGACACACCATCTTTAAGAACTGTAACACTCACTGTGAGGGTCCGTGGCATCATTCTTGAAGTCAGTGAGACCAAGAACCTACTGGAAGCAACCAATTCTGAACACACTATCCTTCCATTCAAAATGTCTTCCTTCTCCTTGTTCACATGGTAAGAACTTCAAATGTCAAATGTGAGTTCCTCCATGAAGTGATTCCTGACTTTATCATGAAGAGATGTCTTCCTCCTTTGTGCTGTCACAGCACACTGGATGCAAACCTCCATTCACAGCACTGTTCTTAGTGGTTTGCAACTCTGTCTCTACACCTTGCCCCCTGTGGACAGTAAGTGTTCCAAGGGTAGGGAGAAACTATGTTCTATTCATCTTCACATCGCCGAAATTTAACATCGTGGTGGGCTTTTAAAGATTGCTGAACAAATTGATTTGTCTAATGTACATTAAAAGAAGTGACAGAAATTAATGTTAAGAGAGAGGCAGGGATTTCTACTTGGGGGAGGCACAGGGATTTCTAGTTGGGGGAGGGGTGGAGATTTCTAGTTGAGGGGGGCGGGAAAATATACTTGCTTTCAGGGAAAGAATTCTGGACAGTCTTGCACCTGGGTTCTCTTACCCAAGCTCTGCCATTGGCTGTGTAACCTAGATTAAGTCATTCACTGTCTCAGAGCCTCAGTTTAATCATCTGAAAGCAAAAAAAAAAAAAAAAGCTACACAACTCAGTTACCACCAAGATCCCTCTCATCTCAAAGACTTTAAGTACAAGAGTTAGCCAGAAAATAAGGGGAACTGACAAACAGTCTAACATAACATGCAGGCCTGGGTTCAAAGCCTGACTCTACCAATTACCAGATATAACCAGAGTATCTAACTTCTCTAAGCATCAGTTTCCTTGTCTAAAATGCATGCATAAATAATAAATGTTTTCCCATCATAGACTCATGTAAGAATTAAATCAGTGGATACACATATAGCACTTAGAACAGTAGCTGATACAGATGGGCAAAGCACTTACCAAATAGAAGACAGTCTGACCATGAATGAACCTAAATTTGACTTCGTAGCTTTTCACTTTAATGCTGACTAGTTGTATTCCTGACTGAAATCACTTCATGGAGAAACTCACATTTGAGGTTTGAAGTTTTTACCATGTGAACAAGAAGGAAAACATTTTGAATGGAAGGATAGAATGAGTGAAATCATAAAAATGTTGAAGAAAATCATTTATTGAGGAACTGAATTCAGTTCAGTATAAATATATTGGACCATACTTGCAGTTGGATGCTGTGAAAGTGTGAAGTAAGGACCAGATTGGAAATTCTCAGTGTCTGAACTGCGGCAGTGAGAATAGCAGGGAAAAGATAAATTTGAGAGAGAGAAGATGAAAATGACAAGACCTGGTGAACTTAGGACCTCCTACATACATAAGTCAGTAAGCCATTGAGTACCAAGATAGTCTATATGTTTTGTCTCAGGTCTACTGTTTCTGCCAGAAGAACCATCCATTCTTCCACACTGTTGATACTAAGAAATTTAGCATGCATGGAATTGGCAAGCAGGATATTGAGGTTTCAGAAGTCTATCTTGGCATCTATCTTCCACCAACGCCCCCAGGGCCCTGGAACAATTCATGATCAGTTTTCCCTTAATTCTGGGGAAAGGAGTGAGATGATCAGAGGGCACTGGGGGAAAGGAGTTGATTTCTTCTGAACTCTTCCCAGAAAGAAGCCCATCAGCCTGCTTCTTACTAGATAGAAGTCAAAAGAAAGGTGTAACTCTGAAAAAAAAAATTACTTCGAGACCATTGTTTTGACTACTGAGACCATTCTTTTTCTCAGACTCCTTCCTTTTCTCCCAAGCTGATTTCTTTTAGTGAGTTTTCCAAGAAGGACCTTCACCTCCAACTTCAACCTTAGTCTTAACAGACCAACAGGTAATAAAATTGAAAAGACAGGCAACTTTTATTTCCCTCTGGCTGGATCCACACTCAGGTGGTGAGGCTTAGTAATAGGAAGCCTCTCACCTCCAACAAAGGCTAAGTGGACTCTCAGCAAGACTATATTAAAAGTATCCAGCATGTCTCATGCACTAGACAGATTCTATATTTAACCCCTCCATTTGCTGAGTAGCACAATAGGTAAAGGAGAAGCCCAGCATTGTGTTCAGGATGTCTTGAGAACAAATCATGCAGGCTGGCAATGGGATCCCATAACCATTGCTAGGAAAAAGGACTGGTGGGGCCCTTGATATGTGTGAGCCCTGGCTTCGTTATTACAGCCACTTGGAAGAAAAGGCGGGATAGCAGATTTGGGCTACGGGTTTCCACTTATCTGAATTAGTAATAAAGATCTTGAAAGACACAGGAGCAATGCCATTAGTCCCAGCTGCCTTCATTATTTTTAATATGCCTTTGTTCACCTCCATTTCCCTTTAAGATTGGAGAAAGTCCATGTAAGAATTCATGATTTTCTATCCCAATCTTCCTATTTATAAAGTGGTGCACTTGAAATGGCATGTAGCAGACCCCTGCCAGGTGGGCTGCCTCCCAAAGTTCAACAGGAACAGTGTGAGTGGGCTAAGAGATGGATGGCGGCCCTTACCTGACCACGATGGGAAAACCTTTAAAAGGACAAGCAAGCAGCCTAATTTCTTTTATTCCTCAAGGCAATGGTGGGGCGTTTTGATCTTTCCTGGGTTTGTTTCTCAGCCAGCTCTAGTCCTTTGTCTTGCCCCTTTCAATGAGGTTCTGCAGTTTTATTTTATCTAAACCAGAAAACGTCGCGTGATTCTGTAAATGTTTTCTTGCTGTTGTACTTTTCAGACTATTTTCTTCCTTGTTTTTTGGAGGCCTGAATCTGCCTTTGGTCACACTATTTGCTCCTCTATGGTCACCTCGGAGAAGATTAACCCTTTCATTAAAAAAGCCTGGCCAGGGTCAAACTACCGCCTGGCTAGGGACTCTTACATCCCTTTGATCTCCCAGCTATGGAGAAATTATTAGCAAATTCTAAGCCTTCCCATGTGATTTGTTTTTGTAAATTTGTAGAAATTATTCCTAATCCTATTACGTGGCCTAGGGCAAACCTGCATTAAATATAGGAGACTTTTTGTTATGTGGCAGATGGATAATAAAGGAATGCTGAATGCAGCTCCATTCCAAGTTATGGGAATCTGGACACTTCATCAGCATTCACTTAATCCTCTGCCATAGCTCCGCCTTTGATGAATGCTCTCATTTATGACCACTGATGCCGCTCACTTAATTTCAGAGAAGAAAAATAATACCTAGCTGTTAATGTGAATATTTGAGTTTATGGCTGTACAATGAATAATTGTGACATTATCAAAGGAACATCTCCTTATACATTATTCAGTTGTATAGACCACATTAACCAGAGATTGGAAACTTGCAATTTTGCATCTTCCATCTTCTTTGGAACGGAGACACCATGCAGACAAAAGTCAGTGTCTCAAACCAAATTCTACCTGACAATGCGTATCAGCCCGCACTATATTTTGCTCATTGTGGTGCCAATCTCCTATCTTACCAATGACATTTTTTCAAAGAAAGAGGGGATTTCCTAGAGACTCGACCCCATGCAACTTCCATAGCTTATTATTGAATAGGAAAATGTAGTTTTGGTTTCTGCTTTAAAACTGATGCCATGGAGGATGTCTTGAGGGTTAGACTGAAAATTAAGACAGCACACCTTTGCTGCTTATACTTTATATATAAACTGAGGGCCTTTTTCAATGTAAGTTTTCACTTAGACAGCAGGAGAGAATGGAAGTCACCCATGAATTACCAAGCCTTTGCTGGGTTCAGCCAGGCAGAGATCCGTGCTGGTACCATTAAGGACAGTCATGCAAAATCACTCACTTCTCTGTTACAGAATAGATATGCCTCAGCTGCTTCAGCATTGTATGCCTTTGTTTCTGGGGAAGTAGGGGATGAGGTGCCAGAAAAGGCATGTAAAGAGTAGGATGGAACATTTTCATTGTAAAACCTCATTGGATAGTGTTTTTAACTAAGATATGTGCAGATGTTATGCACAGGCATGTTGTCTGAAAATGCCAGGAATACTTTATAAAATAGCAAACTTATTTAATAAGACAGCAAATACCGGTATCAGACTATGAATGGCACCACTGAGCTATTGATTTTTAAAGTATCCTTCCATTTTAGTTTAATTTCAATATTGCTTGGTAAATACACTTTGAGGTTAAGATCAGATTTCTCTAAAGATGTTTTCCTGAGTTGCTGTTTGAGTAATCCTCATGAGATCAGTTATATTCATGATGGCAAAATGCCCGCAAATAGATCTTTGAGACTTGGGAGGTGCACTAAGGTAAATGAAATCAGCAATATGTGTCATTTTTCCAGTTTTAGTAAGCCATAAGCCAAACATTTTCATATTCTGCTAGCTTCCACACTACAGTCAATTTATTGGCATGAACCACTAACTGAAAGACTGTAGAAAAAAAGTATTTTAGCCTATATCCAGAAAATTCATTATGGAAGTTCATTTATGATTGTTCAATGCCCAGAAGCAAGGGTAAACAAGGCATACATAGTTCTACTCAAACTCCACATGATTTAGTAATGCATGGTGAAAGCAATAAACAAGACTTCTAGATGGTTAAAAGAGAGGTTCTGGTCACTGTTCATTTTCCTATTATATGAAATTAATAAACTGAATAGCAAATTTGGAGTTAGACAAATAAGGCTTTCTCACCTTTGCCTCCTGAGGCTGATAGTGATGGCACTGGGAATCAGGTATAGACTCTTGGAACCACTGAGAATGATGCTCAACTAAACAAATACTCTCAGCTGAAGAAATCGCCAAGTTACGTCTGTGATGGGTGACTAAATAAGCACCCTCAACCATTTTGCTTATGGTGGTTGTTCTCCTCGACAGACAAAATGGCTCTAAAAACAATTCTAACAGTCACTCTACCAGCATTTATCAGTGGCCATCTGGATTATCTGTCCCAGAAAAATAGATGCAAAAATATTACAAATGGAAACTTAGATGAAAGAGCCTATCAGCTATACTAAAGACCAATAGGTACTGAATCTAGTGCCAACTTAACACAAATGTCTTCTGTCTTCAGAATTGTCTTATTCTTTGTCTTATTTATCAAATACTTGATTTCCATTCCTGAAAACTAATTTAGTAGACTTAGGGTGGGAAACTGGCATGGAATTTTTTGAAACAGCACAGGTGATGCTGATGCCCAGAATTAACGGTCACAGGCATAGCTTGTCAAGGAATGAAAATCAAGCATTTGAACTTTTTTCAAGTTTTGCAGGAGGTTATTTTGATTCGCAGCCCTATTTGAGAACCGCTCCTCTGCAATTTGCCCTTACTTTAGAGGCATTGTGGAAGAGGGAAAAGAACCATGGTTTTGAAGCCAGACAACCTTACGTTGAAAACCTGGCATGTCTGTCACTGGCGGTGTGCTCTCAGACAAGTCATTTTAGCTCTATAAGTCTCTGTCTCCCACTCTGTAAAATGGGAATAATCCACTTACCTCACAGAGCTACTGTAAAGTTACTACTCCAGTGTCTGGAACATAATAGACACTCAATCACTGTGACTTTCCTGTGAAACTAACTTAATTCCCCATAGTACAGGGAGAAAAAGAGGAGGAGGAGGAGAAGAAAAGGAGGGGAGAGAGATTAGTTTTCCTAAGCCTTCCTTTACTGAAAACAAACAGGCTTTACTGTCCAAATAATTCGCTGTTAACTTGTATTCTGAAAACAAAACCCCTTTTCAAAATAGTTCCAACTCTTTTTTTCTTCCAAAATGACAGCAAAAAAAAAAACAAAAAAAAAACACCTAGCTAAAGTAAAATTTGTTTTCATTGTCACTTAAAGCAGGCAGAGAAAAGACAAGAAATCACCCTAACTCTTTTTCCATGACCTTTACCTCCCTTTGAGGAAAATTTAAAAGAATAAAGCAAAGCCAAATGAGCCATCAGGGTGAAGGCTGTATATATTTTTTTCATGTAGAAAATGCAAAAAGAAAATACCATGCAAAGTGGAATTGGGGTTGCATACCACAGCCAGAGGAAGCTGCCTGGGCAAAAATACATACATACACACATACATATATACATATACACATAAATACATACATGCATGCATACATATACACATGGCATATTAATAGAGAAAAAATTACAGTCTTCCCCCTGACCATGCTAGCATTTTTATTACTTGGAACCCCAACATCAAGTAAAGCCAGTCTCTTGGTCCCACTGGTGGTTTTATAAAGGCAAAGCAACCACTTCAGGGCTCCAGACCCATAGACTGAAATTTTCTACTTTGCTCTAATACGCCTAATGTCAGCTTTCTTCTGTGCAAACAGGTCTACAGCAAATGGGTTGGGAAGCTCACCATCTATATCATGTGTAATAAATTATACTTTGCTGAAATGTTGCCTTGCTAAAATATGCTAAGAAAGCTGTGAACAATATTTACAAATAGTTCAGGTGTCACAACAAAACACCCACCACTCATGCATTCTTACATTTCGCTATAATGAGCATGGTAATAGAGGATACCGCTCTTAAACATTAGAAAAGTATTCTTACCGAGACATAATTGGGAGAAATTCTTTAAATTTATAGAAAAAATTCTTTTTTTCTTCCTTCTTGAAGAGTCTGCTCTCTCAACTGTCAAGACAGCAGCCTCAATTTCACTCGCTTCCAGCATCTCATCACACAGCAGGCTGTTAGTACTTATTTTTATTTTGCTACATTGTTAATTTCTTGACAAAGCAAAAAACTTTGCTTACTGCTATTATATGCTACTGACATTTTAAAAAACTGATGCAAACTAACAAACGCTGTATCATTTCAGGCAAGGAGAAAAGAGTTGCCTTCCATGGAAGCCAAACGACCTGATTGTGTTTCAACCTGGGAGGCACGTGGCAAGGCAGGGCAGGTGTTGCTACTTCCACTGGTCATTGAAAAAGGCTGGGTACAGGAGAGTCAAGCATGCCTAAAGGCCTATAATGAGTAAAGAGAAGGGCCTGTATCATAACTGTTTGCCTGCCTCTAAAGCTCATATTATTTCAAGATGAGAAAAACATGAGAAGGAGTTTTCAAGGTAAAATGCAGCATACTGATGTGAGATGATATTTGGGGAAAAAAAAAAGCAGAAACAATTTACCATAGAAGATGTGTCAAACATAAGATATTTGAATATCAGGCATTTTTACAGTGAAAGAGCTCTTCCTAGGGTATATCTAAGAGAGATCAGCAAAAAGTGCTACACTAAAGGAATATAAAAGTTTTCCAATTTAATTATTCTTGATTTTGTTCATAAATCAACACTGAATTTCGATATTGTGGTGCTCACAACATTTTGTAGTCCAGCAGCTTAGACTGTTTTTCTCTACAATAAGAATCAGTCCCATGTGATGTTAGTATTTTTTAATAAAAAATGATTTTCTCATAAACATGTAAAATCACTTTTTTCATCAAGAAATCAAATATTTTTAAAATAAAGCCTTTGGTTCACTTGAAGCTGCTTTCCTTTTTTTAAGAACAAAATCCTCTCTTCTTTGGTCTTGGGTCTGTTTTCTAAACTCCAACATTGGACGTTTTGTCACTTAATTAAATTAACCCTATATTCTCGTTCTAAAGGTAGTGCTGTGAAAGAAACTCTGAGTTTTTAATTCCCCCTCATGCAAGCACCATTCTCTCAGCTGCCTTTTTGGCAGCGTGAGTACAGAAAACAGAATCAGGTGAAAAATAAATGTGTTTACCTACCATCAAAACACCTTTCAAGTCCAATACACATTTTTGTTCTATTAATGCCAACACGAATATGCAGGCACTGTGGCAAGAGGTGCTTTAAAATACAGCTAGACAGACCGATTAAAACGCGCTGCTTTCTCTCTGCCAAATTCCTGCCTATGGGGAGCAATTAACTGTGCCTTCCACGCATTCAAATACTGAATAAGAAGTGAATCTTGTATCTCTGCCACTTAGACAAGTATAATTCCAATGGAAAGATTTATCAACAACTCACAGGCAGTTTGGGGTTTGGTTTTGTTTGTCAAACAGCACAAGCCCTCACGCTGCATCTGGACTCTGTTACAAAGTCACGCGGGGGACAGGAACCCCAGGAGAAGGGCGCTCATTTTGGCCGATGAACAAGCAAATAAACCCAAACATCAAGGAAGCAGCTTTGAGCAAATAAACTACTCTGTGCTAGACTGAACACACATAACATTATCCAGGAATATAACCCAACAGCAGAAGAGCTACTTTATTGTGGCTTCTTTGCAGTTAGAGAAGTCAGTGTCAAATGTAATTGCAGAAGCCCATAATTGAAATTTTTAAAATGTGAATTTATTCTACCGATACCATATGAAGTCACCAAAGGTTTCCTGTATGATGAAAAATCCCAGCATTTAAGGATATTTGAACGCAATAACAGGATTACAAATTAGTCCAGAAAAAAAAAAAAAAAGAGATTCATGAAGATTTGGTGCTGACATTTTTATTTTTAGGTTTTAAATTTTTTTCTGCTCCATCAATTATTTCATATGTGTAGTTTTGTGATTGCTTGAGAGATAAATGGTTGACGGCTGTTATTACACTGCCCCAGTTCTGACATTTCCACCCCGACTGCCTGGCTTCAATGATCTTTTGGGTATGACATTTTAGCTTTGGCCTTGGTCCCCATCAGCCTCTGAGGCAGAATCCAGGCAATGATCTTTCCGGGACCTGACTAAATGCCTAGTTAACTACAAGGTTACTCACACTGGAGCAGGTCACAAGGAAACATTCAGGCCCCCAGATGTCTTTCTTCTTGTCTCAAACAAAGCAGATGTCTTAGATTTTGCAAGGCTGTGTGTAATCTACTTTGGCTTTGCAATTAAGAAACTATATATTTACCATGTCTTTGGACATTTTGTACTTGTTGTTTCAAGGGGAATATGTCTTTTAAGTGCATATAAGTCAAATATTTGAAACTTTGCAAGTAACAATGCTCCTTCATATGGATTTAGGATAAAATGTGGGAGGGAAAACTGTTTTTTAATATACTAATCAGTATATTCATATCATAACTATCTCAAGATTATTATGCATTGCATTTTTAATAAAAGGTAACTCCGTTAATGGTACTGAAACCATTACTGAGTATTTCTATTTTGATATCTACTTTCAAGTCTTACAAGCAGATGAATTCACACTAGGCTGAGAACTGGCAGACAAATTAATATGCCAGAGCTTTGTTCTTAATGAATTTCAATGTTTCTGTTTCAACATATAAAAACATTTTCACATGATCTTAAGAGGAAGATATTAAATTTCCTGGAAATAAAAAATAAACAATAAATAGATGAGTACTTTAATTGACATTAAGAATATCTGAATAAAACTCAATAGTTTCATAGGCTTTATGTATACACACGCACACACACACACGCTCACACACACACACGAAACAAAGGTAAATATGAGTATCAAATTTTAAAAGCTGTTCCATCAATTCAAGTAATTTGGCACATATCTTCACAGAATCTATCCAAAACCCACTCGGAAGTTTTTCTAAGTATGTTTTTTTCATGTCATTCTTTATTGGTCCCAAACATCACTGCCTAGCTGGTAAGTAACCACTATCTCTAAAGCATTATAAATATTCATTTTTAGACAATAAAGTCTTTTAAAATCCTCTCAAAAAATTTCAGGCTATTGCAAATGGATAAATCACTGCACACCTAAGTCCGTATTTGCATGGCTAAATTATATATTGTAACTATGGAGTCTTTTACTTCTATTATACCAAGGCGCACACTGGTATGTTTCCATGAATCTTTCCTTTAGCGGCTGCAGCATTATCATAATAAAGTCAAATATCCCATATTCTACGATAGGTGCTCCATTTTCACCTGAAAGGGACTCAGGCAAAAAAAGCAAAATGTACCAGCCCCAGAGTCTGAATTCCTTTGATATTGGCTGCTTATATCATCTTCTTTGTAGTAACTGAATTGCTCTTTTTCTGTGCATTAATTTTAGCAGATTTTTTCTTATTTGTATAAAGGCAAAATTTAAAGCACTTTTGAAATAAACAAAATATATTATGTTACCATCTCATTTTAGCTTTGTTTCTCTTTTTTTCTGTAAAAGTGCACAGAAGTACTATGAAGCTTTTTCAAGACTATAAGTTATGGGATAAAGTTTTAATAAAGAGAAGTGATGCCACCCTGATGTGTCAGCCACACTGGCTACAGTCATTCTTCTTTAAACTTAAAACACTGCCTAAAATGCAAGCTTATTAGAAGTTAAGACTTCAGCCAGATTTTGTGAATTCATGTTTATTTATGAGATTTGCTTTTTGGGGTGGGGTTATCTTTAATTTGATGTAATCACTAAAAACATCAACTGGGGGTTTTGGTTGTCTCCATAAATGTCTAACATCACAATAGGCTGTTGGCAGAAACAAGATCTCCACCTAAAGAAAACTTCATTTGTATAAAATTTAAGTGTCTAAAATACAAAATAATCCACAGAACATAGTTGTTCTTTAATATACTATATCTAAATTTTTGTTAAATTAATGGTAGGAAAGCTTTTTATTCTTTTGTTTTTGTATGTATTACCTTTTTTTGTTTGTTTGTTTGTTTTTTGGTTTTGTTTTTACAAAAAGTAAATGCATGAAGAGGAATTTTGTGTTTCGCATGACTGCAAACCTGATTTTTACTTCTGGTGCTCTAAGAAATCAAAGGCTATTTAGAGTAACATAAAGAATAAAAATGTAATCAGTGGAATAAAGTATTTCTGTGAAGTCTGACAAAGTAGAAATTTGAATTGCAGCCCCAAATATTTAAATAAGCTATTACAAAAGGAGTGCTAGAAACCATTATATTGTGTGATTTCTTTTGAATAATGGAAATGCTCTCTATCAGGTATTTTTGTTTAAATGGAATAAATGTTTGAGAGAGATGGTATTCAGTCATTGTAACCTTCCATGCCACAAGTATTAGAACTGTTATAACTTCATCTTTTGAAAAGGGGACATACACTAAAAAGAAATTCACAGAGTTATGAAAAGAAGTGCAATTTAAGCCTATCCTCCATCTCCATCATTTGCAGATAGATCATTTCTCCAAAAGGACACTGATGAAGACTTTCAAGCATCCTTTCCCTGAGAATTCTCCTGTCAAAGCTAAACAACATTATAGCACTCTTTGGATAATACATCTCCTCCAATTCCAAATGCCATGGTTTGACAGTGCTCTCAGAAGTTCTTAAAGAAATTAAAGATAGACTTCCTATAAATAGATTGCCAATGCCTTTATATTAATTGAATTTGCCATCTCCCAAAGATTCTTTGGTGTGGCTAGCTGAAAGGTAATACAATTTGACCATTATCCACTTAAAGCAATTGAAATAAAATCTGTGTTGCATAGAATTAAAATCATATTTGGTGGCAATATTCATCAATAAGGATCATACCTAATCATACTGGAATGCTCTGAATTTCCCATGTGTAAATAACATTTCCAACTAGAGGCTGGAGGCTGGAGAAGACATTTTGGGTATTTCTCTGTTGTAGTCTGTATTACCATGGTAGCAGAAGGAGCACCAGACGGAGAGTTAGAGGACTGGGTAGAAGTCCTGGCATGACCACCATGTGTGTCCAGATGAATCCTGTCCTGTCTATGGACCTGAGTCGCTATTGATCTAAAATGTGACCAGATGATCTAGAAACCTCTCTCCTCCTCTGCAATGGTATGCCTCATCTGAGTAAACACGAACAGGAAGACAATGTGAGATGTTGCTGAGAGAATGTTATTACACCTTGGGTCTTCAGAAATCGGGTTTTTCCCAAAGTTACTGTGTCTCAGCCAGAGCCCCGCAGCATTTTGCTATCATATAAAAGACTAAATATGGAAAATGCTTGTCTGCTAAAGTGAATAGGAAAATGCAAAAATTTTTAAGTCATTTAAATATTTAACCAGAGCATAACAATTTATAATTTATAATTTATTATATTTTAAATAACTTTCAGAAAGAAATTCTGCACAGTTGCTCAGATTGCTTGAGAGTGAAGATTGCCCTCAAGAAAACAAAGCACAACAAAAAAAGTCTTTTGTTGTTGTTATTATTGCTGCTATCCTAGCATTTTAGGTCTAAAATAAATTCTCCTCCAATTAATATTGACAGGCCTCCTTTCTGAAGATCATAGTTCTGATACAAATAACTTTTCCATGGGTGTTTTTTATTTGGCTCTGTGGTGGTAAAATGCTAGCTACTGTTTACAGAGAATTTATGTGAACATTCCTGGGATATGAATTATCAGAGAGAAGCAGTGAATGCATTATATGAGAGAAGTATTAAATTCCTCTTCTCACTTGCTAAAGAAATACCTGATTTCTGGTAACTTATTCTCTATTCTCTATACCTGAGAAACCCGAGTGTGAGAATGAAAACAGCCCCCCGACCCTGTTCACGAAAGGATCACTGTGGCCACAATGTCAGTGCACAGTCTTGACTTCACCCCCATCCCCCGGTCTGTTCCACTTTTCCTTTTTCGTTCTCCAGTTATTGCCATGAACCAGAAACTTCCCACAGCATCTCACGGTGTTTTCTTGAAAATAACAATGCTATTAGAACACAACAAATACATAAACAAATCAATGACAGCAAAATGACAGAGTTTTGAATCATCGTGTCTAGGTGGCAGAAAAATTTCTCCTCATCCTCAAAAATATATAAAACTATTGGAAGTTTGCAGGAAATTTTTTCAATTATGTTCTTTAAAACTCTTCTCTTCAAGTAAAATTCTCTCTTAACAATGAAATTTATGAGAGATACTCACACATTTAGAGTAGACGAATGTGAAACTGGTAGGTCTTCATCATAGTTTGTCTTTACATCTGTGCATGTTTACATCTCATACCTAAATACCGATTTAAATTTTTTAACAAACATAACACTTAAATTCCATTTATTATTTCTTGTAAATCTCAATATATAAACCAAATATAAGATGCACCCAGTTTATCTCTCATTTCTCTAATTACATATGCAATGGTGCCTATTTACCAGGCAGTGCCTGCTTGATCCGAACTTTCCAGTGGATTTTAGATGACTCTGTCAGTTACACAACCAGGTTAGTTCAAAGACAGCGAAAAGCACTTGCATCCAAATGAAATCTATATTTGGTAATTCTTAAAATATCATTTTTCCATGGCTTTGTAGGGCATATTGCTTACTCAGATAATGTGCATGCCTTTCCAGTGAGGCAGTTTTTTGAAATGTGATCTTGGGTCACTTTATGTTAAACTTACTTACTCCACACATAGGATGAGTAATGCCAGATAAAGTACTGTCATTAAAAGCATTTTTATTAAGGGGCTAGTAGAGAAAACCTTTAAGCAATGTTATCAAGCTCTTTGTTGAACCAGGTGGGACATCTATATGAATAGGATCTCTTCAGACCTAGACCTCAGCCACAGCACACCTGGCCTATGTTTGGAAAAGAAAGTCTCTCTTGTTTGGCTACATAGTCGGTTACAAAGAGCCAAGACAACTTTAATTTATCCGTTAAGAATGGAGGCCCATATTTAAGAGTCATCAGCAATAAAGGAAAATACACTGGATCATTTCAAGTGCATGCTAATCATTTAATGTAATAAATGGAGCAACTCTAATTATCTCCTGAGGAAATGATTTCACACTAAAACAATGGGAATGAAGAGGTTACTTCAGGAGCATAATACCCAGCTGAAAGTTACTCATGTGAATCTGGAGATTTCTCTTGCATTTCAGGGGGGAGGGACTTTTTCCCCCACAGCCCTAATTCAGTTGCCTCCTTAACGGGGTTAAAGATATTTAGCACTGACCCTGCCGTGTGCTTGTTTTGTAACCCCAAGCAAAGCTCTCACCAAGCTCAAGATCGGTGTCCTTCCTGACTGCTTTGAAAGCTGCTCCCTAATAAGAGGGTATCTGACTTCAATGCAGCAAAACAAATAAATTAGTCTAGAGATCACTGTAACCTCCTCACTTCCTATTCCTTGCCTCCCCCAAAATGATCAATCTGCCACCTACGCTAGCCATTGCAAAAGAATTTCCAGTGAAATGCTTGAAATAATTTTTTAAATGTTTCAATCTGTCGTGACCAATATTTTTAAAAATTTTAAGTGTAGTTTTTTAAAGCTATTTTTGTTTACTTGTTGGCATCACAAAATTAAGGTTAAGAAATATAATGGAGGATTTGGGGAAGAATAAAATGTTTTAATGATTTGGTTGCTTCTCTTGCAAAAGACAGATTTCACCATAAGCTTAAAATGGTTTGCTAAATTCTATATTTCTGTTGCCTCATTGTTCTGTTTCTTTTGATGAAACACATAAAATGAACACTGTCTGTTTAGGCATTTTAAAAAACATATTCACATTAAATAGAATAACTACAGTGGATGGGTACACAACCCTGAAAACTAGGTAGCAGAATGATTTTGACTTTTTCAAATCCTTCAAGTAAATCCAAATCTAAACAAACAGACAGACAATATAGACTTGATTTTTGAACAGTTCTTCCCCCAATTTCTCATTGCTCTGGTTTTGGGAATAAGGAACACATTAGAAAAACCTTTCTCTTCAGAAATAACAAAGAATCAGGAAATTGTGTCTGTTTAACTTCTACATATAAGCTAAGACATTCTAAGTACATATTTTTCATTATGAAAATAATAAATGTAAATAAATTCATAACTCTGTTTCTGTTTTGGTCATATTCAAAGGTATGTTGAATAAGGAATCAAATCCTCTTTAGATTGAAATTGATAAACACATTAGAGAACATGAAAAAATTACATAAAATAGAAAACAACCCAATGCAAGACTGATTAATTCTCCAATTAGTGTAAAAACCATAAGCGGAAATCACAATTTTGAGGGAGAAGATTTGCATTTATTTAAAGCCCACATCCATATTTTATAAAAGGGAATGCTTTGACTTTCTTTTTACCTTAGTATCCCTGCTGTCTGTGTACATGAAAACAGCCAATATCAGACATGAAGTTAATTGGAATCAACTGCGCCCATCTTTACAGGAACACACCGGAATGTGTACCATTCAGGCTCAGCTTACCATAATATTCTCTACGGAATAGTTGACCACAGGATTCTCATTCACAAACAGCCAGGTTAAACAGTTAAATGCTAGCAAATCCTGCATAGCCCTGTGGGAAATTTCACTTTAATCCCGAACTTATAAGAGGACAATCAAAGCCCAAAGCCTGGGTAACAAATCTGATCCTCTGTTGCAATCTGTGTCCTCATGGGAAGGAGAGAGGTGCTCTCCGTACAAGCCCTAGATGGATAAATACCTAAATGATGAGATAGATGGGGAATGCAGAAGAGGCGTCTGGCCTTAGCCATTCGCTTCCAATTCCATATTACACTGTGAGAGGCAATTCTTGTGCAGCTCAGGAGCAGCCAGTCCTGATTACTAGAAGTTGAAGTGTGGCTTAAGGAATGATTAATGACAGTGTCGGGAGGAAAACAAAGCACAATGAGAGTTATCTCTAATCCACCTGCTTGCAGATGCTATAGTAAGGGAATGAAAATGGCCCCGGTGAGCCCTGATGATAAAAAAATCAAACGAGAAAGGTGCAAAGCTGTAGATATGTATTAATCTGATATATAAAAACTAGGTCTTACTTGAATAAAGCATTAGGCATGAATGGAGCCCCATAGGTGATAGATACTAGGCCATAGTGGACTTCACATTGTCTGTATTTTTTAAATCAAACAGAACTGTTCCCTTCAGTATTGCCTTTGACATTAATAGGTTGGTATTTGAAAAGTCACAGTTCACTAGATGAGCAGGCTTGTGAGTGCAAGCTCATTAAACAAACCCCCTTTTCTTGTTGTTCTTAAAAAATACGATGACACCATACCACCACCTTGTGGTTTTGCTGTGCACGTACACACTACCCCCGGAGACGTCTAAAATTCAATCACATTTTCCAAACGTAGAAATCCAGGTGGAATGTAATTATAAGATCGATGGTGTACTTTATAAGCAAGTATGTTTATGAGTGGCTTTCACCTAAGACAACACAATGCCAATAAGATCATTGAAGTTTCATAATGTATTTTTGGATGCAATATGAGGTCTCAGCCTGGTCATTCCAATTATCTATTTTAATTTCAGGCCACCAATGCAACGAGATCAGAAGACATCAAATATCCATCTATGTGAAGAGAATGAACAAAAGTGTTTCACACACCTGTTCCCTGGCAAGTAGTCACTGACTTCCAATATCCAACAAAGCTAAGTAACAACACTTTGAGCTTTTCATAATTTTTCTATGTGTGGAAAAGATTGTGAAGCAGTGAAATGTGTATGTGCTTTCTTCTAAAACAAAGAACATTTTACTCATGTCTCCACATCTATAGACAGAACTCTAAGCACTTTTAAGAGCTAAATTTTTATGTTTGGGCATTTTGTTGATTTGTTGACTCGCTACGCATTTGCCTTTTGATATGATCTTGATTCGATGGAAGCAATAGCATTCCATAATTTCACCTGGTTAGCAATCATTCCTGCTAGGAGGTAGTGATGGACAATGATGCAGGCAGCCTCAGGATATTCACTTATTCCCAGGTTTGGGAAAGCTGCTTCTGCTTTTGTCCACAGTGCTAAGTGCCTATTGCATTCTCTCCCCTTTAATCTAGCTAGCAACAAGTTAGATGTTAATTCATATTTCATGCAAGATTTTTAATACTGAAAGTCTAATGAAGATTTAGCGTTCCGTTTTTAACAAGGCTGATGTTACTGTTGAAAGAAAGCACATACATTATTTTAATTAATATCAATTCATAAGTGCTCTTGATTTATATATTAAACAAAGAGAGAAAGTGTCTTGTCATACATGACAATTGATTCTGTATTCACCCATCATTTACTCAGAGCCCATTTCCCCCCTTCTTGCGTGGGAAATGCATGATGGAAGCTGCCATGTAGAATTGTGTGTCTCTCACATGCTGTTAATGCTGTGCTGTGATCACCTCACCCCTTATTTCCTTATGACGAGCTTCAAGTCAGTTCCAGCCAACTGTGCTAGTCTCCACCTGACATCTTCTCCTATCAAATAAGCAGCCTCTATTGTTTTAAGCTTAATGCCTTTGTGTATGGCACAGCCTTCCAATAATCGCAGAGGGCCTGACAACTCATGTGTTATAAAGGCATAATGTTAGGCCAAAGGAGGTAATTAATAATAGCAGTTTAATGCAGCTGGGAGCAAGAATTGCCTTACAAACCAAAACATCTTCAGCCATTTAGCCAAGTACAGAATTAGCAAGATGGCAAGGACCTGAATGGAGAAACAAATGCCCTGCCTTATGTGTTATGACACAGTAGGCAGTTAAGAAAATTCCAGAATTTTAGAAGATGCTCTGATCACACCAGACCATTATTAAATTGAATATTAGCTATTAATTAAGTTCTGGGGAATTTTCTTCTTTCTCCATTTCATTCTTTCAGTGGCAGCAAATTGTCTTCTTTTGAAGTCAATGCCATGATTTCCTCATGTGAAACCTCTACACCAAAGGAGGCAGTGTTCTGGTCCTGCTTCCCTACCTCTCTCCTCACGCCCACCCCCACATACATACACGCTGTCAAGTAACTTATGTCAATTTCCAACAACAGCAAAAAAGTAGACACTAGAGCACTTCACATTCTGTGCTTTAAATAAAAAATTTTTTCTCTGAGATTTGTTGCTACATTCCTACCCCAGAAAGACCCTAGAGATACAGGCAGAGCCCAGAAAGATCCTGTGAGTGGGCCAGTGGGAAGGGGAGGAGCTGCAGTACTTATGTAGAATGTTTTTAAGCCAAAGAAAGGATTTTATTTCTTCTTAATTGTTAGGCTGTGTACAAGTTAGTAATTATTTTGTCGTCCTCCAGTACCATGACAAACACACACACACATACACAACACACACACAGGCACACTTAATGCTTCATGCTGGAATCACTCCAACCAATAATGCTGACTGGCCACTATTTGTGGGGAGAAAACATTCCAAAGCCCCAAGTCAAGATATTAATCCCACCCTATTTTTAAGAGAAAAATAAATCATTTGCCAAGAGCAAGACAATTGAGACCATGAGAGAGGACCTGACCTGGAAAGCCAGCCAGATTCCTCTCCAGTCTAACCCAGTCTCTTCATTCCATCGGTTTAAATCTAAAGGTATATTTGTCTTTCAGACTGTCTTTCTGGACTATATGGAGGCTCCATCCCCAGCAGTGGATGTGGCTTCCTCCTCCAACCTCCTGAGAAGTAGAAATGGCATGAGTGTTTTATGCACACTTTAATACTCTGCAGGGTCAGCTCGGACTTGGAAAGATGCTTCGGAAATCAACATGCGAAGGAACACTCCACGCCAATAGGAATGAGAGTTACATTTATGCTCTATAAAATAAGGCATCTCCCAATTTATTTACCCTGGCATGATTATTTATCTGGCATTATATTGCAGCGGTAATCCAGGGAGTTGCTTTGTAGTTACTCTGTTACTGCTCTTGTTTTGCAGTAACTCTGTAAATAACTTGTGTCACCCCTTCTATGTCCCAGTTCCAGATGGAAGATAAGACGTTATTTCTGCTTCAGTGCAAAATCTTAACAGCTGATGTAAGGAGGTGTTCAGATTCCTATCTAAATTACATGCCAGATATTCTGCATTAGCATTGTTAGGCGGGTTATTTATCTACAACCTGAATATATTTCCAGGATATCAAATGATGACTTACAAGCTATCTCCTGTGATGTGATGTGCAAGCGTAGAGCAATGTAAGAAAAATTTTAAAACCCCTCCATGGATGATCTTAGCTTAGAAAAACTGATTCAACATTGTTCTATTTACCTTAATTAACACAAATCTTAGCCATATTTGTTTATAACACTGTGTTAGTGACTAAATAAAACCATTATGAAGCTGCCTACAAGGCCACTGGGTATGCAAGGAAAACTACACAGTCATTACTACCCAGTAGAGGGCAAACACATTGTATTTTATTGCTAATTTGGACCAAATCCCTGTAATTTGGTGTTTAAAGATTGTGCATGGGTTATGAGCATACAGTTGTTGAATAAATGTACCATGGTATGTTTTTAACATCTGTGGAGATTTTGATGGAATAATAGTCTCCTTTCTGTATAGCTTAATGTAATATATTATGTATTTGGAAATTTGAGCAAGGTACACTATTTGGAAAAGAAATCACAAAAGAAGATTTGCTTGTGCTGTCTAGAACTCCCTTACATTGCTAGACTCTAGAAAGGAAGAGCAGGATTAAAACAAAACAAAACAAAAAACCTACATTCAGGTGAAGAAATGTTTTTTTCCACGTGATCTTTGGTTTCCCTTTGTTAGGAATAAAGCTCTTCATCTCTCCCCCACTCCGAGGTTGCTTTTCCTCCAAGTGGAAGGTAGTTTGGGCCAATATGTTGTGTTATTCCATTAGTTTATGTTTTAAGACTAAGAAGAGATACTTCTGTGTTATAAATTATTTATAGCACAAGAACAAAGGGAGGCTGTCAGGGCTGCTGCTACTTTGAGAAAATAAAAAAGAAATGATGAATTTATGGAGAATCCAATTTAATAAAGAGGGAGGAGATGCAACTGCTAATTATTAACATCCATCTGCAGACAGAGACCTGAGAGTAAAGAATTAGATGGATACATTTACATCTGTCTGTCACCAAAAGAAATCTCACTAATGGTTTTCCACACTGTCACCAAACGCTCCCCATCCAGCTTCGAGAACCTTAGAGACACGTGAAGATATTTTAATCAACAGCAGGGCATGGAAGACATGCAAAGAACTTTAGAAATGGGCACTGAAAAACACCACCACTTCCTCCTGCACTCTCTGCCATTCTGAAAACACCAAATAATAAAATGTGGTGTGGACTTTATCTTTGTATCTAACTGATGTGGGGAGCAGTGAGCTTTGAAAACTTTTCTATTGAAGCAGCTGCAAGGCACATCTCTGCTGACATCAGGCACAGTGTAGAGACAGAGGTATGAATGAATGAAGAATGTCCAGCAAAAAAGAGAAGAAATGGTTTATCGTGGGAGAATTTTTTTGTTGTTGTTATTTTATTTTGATGCTGAACCTACCTCTTGTCTTCTGGACGTTGCTTTCATGAACAGGAGGGAACAGAAAATGGAATGCTTTGAAAACTCATGATCCTGGGCTGCTGCCTTCTTTTCTTAAAAGGAGCAGAAGAGAAGGATAAATATATTAAGAATTCGTCAAAGAAAAAGAAATGTTCCATGGCTGTGTGAAGCTTGCTGATGGGGGGGGAGGGCGCAGGGGGAAGCAGCCCTTCTCTCTTGAACATTAGTTTAAGTCTATAGACCCCTGAAAGGGGTCACAATTTCAACTTTGCCCTTGTCATCTTATTTTCAGTAGCAAGGTCATCTATACTTGGGAGGTTTCAAATCACCTTTGAAAAATTTAGGGCACTATTTTTATCTGTCACCCTTCTACACACAAGCCTTGGGCTGGTTCCCATATCGCTATTCATAGATTTGGCAGTTTTTTAGCCTGAATTTTTGATGTGTTGTCCATCATGTGATTTTTCCCAGTTGGTCTGAATTAGCCAGACAGGGTATGGGAAGAGAGGTTTTTCCAATTCTCTGACTTTATCACATATTTTAAAATCAGGCAGAAGGAAAGAGTGGTGTGACTCTTTTCAAAATTTTGGAGATGCCACTTTATTTATAGTTTTCCGCGCTATCGACAAAGTAAGACTTTCTGACAAGATCACACAGCTATTAGTTCAAACCAGATTATTTTTCCTTAAACATTCTTGTATATTTTGTTGAAATTTTCCCAGTTAATAAAACTGCCTTGCAAATTTTTATGAATTTATTTTAAAAGTTCAGGAAACATGGATTTACAAAACTGGGAATAACTATCCAGTCCTAAGATTTCATAAATGTTTCATTCATTTAATGTTTAGTGCAGGAAGTAATGACTACCCACAGGAAGCAATGACTAATGTCAGAGACAAAGACTAAATCAATAAGTAAATAAATAAATAAACCACAACCTTTGCTCTTTCTGGTTGGATACTACCCCAAAAAACATGGGACAGGTAGAAAAATGGATAAATATTTCACAATTATCTACAGGTTGATTTTGATCAAGTTATTTTCAAACATTTTATAATAATTTATGAAATGGAAATTTTAAAAAGTGTTTTCCCTCATTTTCATTTATCATTAAAGTCATTGGCTCTTATTGGGGAAATTAAATGCTGGAAATATGGCTGCAAATCTCTATAGAGTTCCATACAATGGAAAGCTGACCATGAATTTAATGGGGTCACATATGGTGAATTGGAATAGATGGGCCTGTTTTTAATAGCAATTTTGTTAGAAAGGTACAGAGAGGTCAGCCAATAAATCAATCTAAAATAAACTTTTGAGAATTGTTCATTTCTCATTTTTTTCCCAAATACTTTTCATTTATTATCTGGAATGTATAAGATGTACAGAAATTCCAGAAAAAGCTTTTCTAACATGGTTTACCAGATGTCAGGGTTACACTGGGAACCCTAGGGACTAGAGGATCAGGAAATACTCTAGAGCGGATGGACCAGTGTGGAGACTCATGGCTAGAGAAGTGACACAAGACGGGGACCTATTAGTGTCTGGAGTATGACCCTTGCCTTCCAAAGGAACACACTCCCTGGTCTCTAAACCTGTAAAACTTCTACAGAGGAGAGGGAAATAATTGAGATTTGGGGGAGTTGTGAAAGAAAGGAAAGGAACAAAAGTAGATTAACAGAGAGCACTGAAAAGAAGGAACGATTATTCTGTGGGGTCTGTGCCCAGAAACATAGCAATTGAATCCAGCATCCCTTTATCTAGACAGCAGATGTCCGGAGGCCTATCTCAGGGGCTCATTTTCACTTACACGTATCGCTTCTCGGCCTTTTGGCTAAAATCAATTGCACTTACATGTGAAATTCAGTTACTGAAGTTCTGATAAGTATGCCTCCCTGGGCTTAGAGAGAAGAAAGAAACCCTGGTCGGAAAGAAAGGATGTGACCGGAAAAGCAGAAATCCTGCCTCCACCACAAATTAGCTGGCGGATTGAGCAAACTACTTCCCATGAGTTTGGGCCTCTGTTTCTTCACCATCTATGTAAAGAACCTTGGTAACAGGCTTCTTGTAAGAAAGCTGATTACTGGGGGCTGAATTTAGGTGATGAAAGAAGCTGGAAAAAATTACCTCCTTTAGCTCTAGAAATTATATGTTCCTAGAATGTAAGCTAAGGGTATTCTAATCTTATTCTCTCTCTCACCCATACATACACGCAAACACCTGAAGAATAACCTACATAGACTTCCTTTTGGTATAAATCATACCATATATTACAGGAAGGTGAGCTTTCAACTTTTTTTAAATTTTCTCTTATCTAGATATATAAGTTTTACAAACTAAAAATAAAACCACAACCAAAGATTTACAAAGAACAAATTCTCCTCTGTTTTCTCCATCTGTTTTCAAGAGATCCAACCAAGCACACTTTTCTCAACAACTGAACTGTAGGCCTACAGAAGGCAGCAAATTCTCAGTATGTCACACAGCACAATAAATGTTTGATGAAGGCACTTCAAGTCCTGAAGATGGGACTCATGGAAAGAGGAATGCACACTCTTGTAAGAAATAACTCCAAATTTATGAGATTTGATATTAAGATAATAAGATAGATCTGTTAATCCTTTTATGCAAAACATTACTGAAAAAATTACTACGATTTCATCTTTATACTTACAGATTCTCCTCAACTTACGATGAGGCTATACCCCAATAAACCCATTGTACGTTGAAAATGTCAAGTCAAAAATGTATTCAATACACTTAATCTACCAAACATCATAGCTTAGCCCTGTCTACCTTAAACGTGCTCAGAACACTTACATTAGCTGGTAGCGGGTGAATCATTTGGCACAAGGCCTACTCTATAATAAAACGTTGAATATCTTATGTAATTTATTGAATACTGTGCTGAAAGTGAAAAACGGAATGGTTGTATTGTTACTTGAAGTATGGTTTCTACTGAACACGCATCACTTTTGCACCATCGTAGTCAAACAATCACAAGTTGAACCATCCTAAGTTGAGGATGCCTGTACTTCTCTCTCATACCGCACACCAAACTTATCTGCTCCATACCTCCAGCACCCATTTCTTCACCTGTACTCTTCCTTGCCTCTACCAGTAGTGTTCCTTACTGATTCTCATTTTCCCCACACCCAGGTTCTATTCACTCCTCAAGACTTGGCTCCCACATAGGGCGGTTCTATGTCTCTAGTTTCTCCCAAGACAGTTCTAGTGTACACTTAATGGCTCCATATAAATATTAACAACTGTACCTTTTGCTTTCTGGTTTAGGGAGCAAATTACAGAGTTACTGTGCTAGTTATCAACTTACTGCTTCTCACTTCCTAATACATAATATTTCTTTGCTCAGCATTGTCACGGGAGAGCTGGATCTTGTAAACTTTCTCCTTGCCAAATGACACAAAGCTAGGCTTTGCGTAGAGGACGCTGGAAGGACAAGACCAGGGGGCTTTTCTTCCTGGTTCTGTTTTTTTGTTTGTTTTTGTTTTTTTTCTTGCCCAGACCATGCAGTGGCCAGCTAGTGGTTTCCTGGCCAGTGATGCGTAGAACCCAGAAGGACACATCCTCCAACAAGTTCCATGGACACTCATGCATGTGGCATCTCCAAGAGTTTTCATAGCATGCCAAGGCAGTTTCTTGCTCACCCGCACCTCAGCAAACTTCACCATCAAGTGAAAAAAAGGAGAGTTTACAAACCCAGTTTCTGCCTTTTCCAAAAGAAGTATAAGACTGAGGCACTAGGCAGACACCTAACTGCCCCTATTCTGGGAAAATTTGTATGGGAGCTGACAAAGGTAAAGAAAAAACTTCAAGATACCATGTTATAATGAGACAATGTTAACAAAATAACACCCCCTTGGAATAAGGAAATGTAATGTGACTTTTTTGTTTAATGAGTATTCCTGCATAATACAAAAACCTAGAATCCAAAATCAAAACTATCTGGTGAACCCAGTGGGAAGAAGTTCTCTAGAGTGTGGAATTACGAACATATATATGTTTGTATAGCTACCTAAATTTACGAGTTTTTAAACCATTGTAATTTTCCTTAAGGTAGGACTAGTACTTTAACTTGATTATTTGCCCCTAGTATGTGATAAGAAAATATTGGTTGGAGAAGAGACATGCAAAATAGCACAGAAATCTTAGTAAGATGGGAATCTTTTTAACCTCAAACTATTTTTGTGAAGTCAAATACTAATTGATAAAGGATAAGAAGTGAAAATTCCAATCGTCCTCTGAAGAGAGATGTGATCCCAACAAAATATTTCAGCTAAGTCTAAATTGCATTACTTTTTCATCGAATAGTCCACTTTTCCTCTTTGTGCCCTGATCCCTTGACCTCGTGGACATCATGCTTGACCACATAACTTGCTTGAGACATCGATAGGTAAGCAGTAATATGGGTCACTTCCAAGACAAATCTTTCAGAGCCAGGGTGTGGTTGGCCATTTCTCCTTTCACTGTTCCACGAAATTCACCCCGTATCCACAAGGAATATGCCTCAGCCTGGGTCCCACAGCAACCACATGGAGCAGTCAACCCATGATGGACATACAAAAAAATAAACATTTGCAGTTGGAAGCCATGGAAAAGTTTAGGTTGTTACCATAGCATAACCTGATTTATTCTAACTAATTTCAGACAGCAATTAATAATTGGAAATGAGGTAAAAAGGAAAAGGAAGACTCCAAGAAATAGGTTAGCAGCCTGAATGATAGGGAGAATACAGGAGCCTATGGACATTGTAGTATTTTACTAAGAACATCTCCACAACATAACACACATCCAGGCATCCTGTTCTGAGTGACTTTACTCTGGCTTCTAAATTGCCGTTTTTATTACAGATGTGGGAGCCTCTCCACACCTCCACCATTCTAATGAAGGTACAAAATATGTTAGATTCCACATATAAACCAAATATGTGAGGGATAGATATGCATTAACAAGAGGACTGAGGCCAGGAAATACAAAAATTCAGTTAAAAATGTGCAAATGTGATGGTATGTTCATACCCTTAGATATCTACCCATGAAAGTAAGGTAAGGAGCATCTTACTTTTCCCACAAAGTTTGTAGGGCTGTGTGTTAATAGGGGCTGAGAGTTGAGTCTTAATAATGCTGGCAGACTGGTTATATTGGACAAATTAGTATATCTACCTCAATCTTAAAGTGAGAAGAATATTACACTCTAGCATATATAAAATATTAATGTAAATATGTATAAGCATACAAGAATCTATTATTTAGCACAATAAGGGGATTGGGTACTTAAGTTAATCAAATATTTCAGTCTTCTATAGTTTGCCCATTTCTAAGCAATCAGAAAGCAAAAACCAGAAAAATATACTGAACACCCGTACTATGTTGAATACAATTCTGTTTCGCAAAGATTCATATGACACCACAGGATCTTGCAAGGCTTCACGATCATCATTTATTATGATCTTTAACAATGGGAAGATGCAGACATCGCACCCCGTGAGACACTATAGAGTAATGAACAGAGTCAGGAGACCCAGAGACAAGTTCTCACTTTGTTGCTTATTAATAGGATGACCATACACTCTGATTTTCTCAGAACAGTCCCAGCTTGTGCTGTTGAACTGGCATGTTTACTAATGGTGTTCTCACTCACTCTCAAAACTATCCCCATTGAACAACAAATTATATAGTCACCCTACTTATATATGACCTCAAAAATCCATTTAAGATTTTAGAACTCCAGTTTCCTCAATTATAGATCTGAGGATACAACTGAGATAATATACATAAAAGTGCTTTGTGAGCTTCTTAAGCACTATCTACATGTTTGGTATCATTATCATCACTTTATTGGAAAAATTTAGTCAATAGAGCACCAAACAGTAAAGAGTTGCGTCTTAAAAATCACTTTGTCCTTTTCATTTCCATTATTCATTCAAAAAATATTTGTTAGCTTACTACTATGACCCAGAGACTGTTTGGCGCCAGGGATAGAGATAAAAAAAAACAAACAAATAAACAAAAAGTGACCCATACCCTAGCATTGCTTTTACACTAATGCCCCTGTGAAAATTAATCCTATTAGAAAAGACCAAATGAATAAGAGCAACTCTATTTTATCCATCTAATTGGGAGACAACTAAAGTTCAGAAAGATGAGATTCTCAGGTCACTCTGCAACTCAGTCCATTTTGCATGAAGGCTAAAACTTGTGAATCCTAGTTCACATCCATGCTCTGGCCAGTTCATTATTTTGTTTTTAAAGGATTAATGGAAATTCTCACAGAGTCCTTGATCTTACCTCAAGAGATCTCCTAGATCATCCTGGCCTCTAGGCAGGATTGCTCTTAAAGGCAAAACAAGAATCCGGCTAATTCTCACAACTGTGCAAAGTTGGCCAGTCTTGTTTATACAAGCTCCACAAACCAACCTTCAGGATGTATTTTCAAGTTTAATGGCCCCATCCTCAGAACTTTACGAGCTGCCATAGTCCTATAGACCTCAAAACAATTCAACATTCTACACTGAGAATGGAGGACTTTGAAGAGAAATGAAAGGAAGGAGGGAAGTCTTCCATATTCAAACGTCCAAACAAATCACCACTGAACAGACCTTTGGCAAAGAGTCTACAAAGGTAAGTTTTCAGAGTGAATATAAATATTAGTCTTTTTCTGCAGTCATGAAGACAGCAGCTCCTCTTGATATTAATATATCACTACTCTACAAATACACAGGGAATAAGATTATGATTCTCTAATATTAAATACACCTAAATAAACGCCTGTCTTCAATTTCAAAAGGCCAAAGTCAGAGCCTAACAAACTGTGTCTTCAACATTCCTTCCAGGTTCCAAAACCATATTTTAATCAGATCTATTCTATGGGAGTAGGAAAACATCCCTACAATCTGAGCCAAATGCCCTGCTCTGATGCAGCTGTAACAGCTATTCAGAGAGCTCCAAGTGCCCTCTTTTGGCCTACAGGGAGAATTGCAATCCCCTTCTGTTATCAAAGAAGCCCTTTGGAAAAACAATGTGTTTACAACAAAGCCCTTTACTTATGAGCAAACCACAATGATGACTAGACAAATGGAAGTTTCCTCTAGTCAAGGCACCTCTGCTTTCAGAGAGCCTCATTAAATGAGTTTCATTATACATTATACATCTCTCAACCCTGGTCGGCAAACAAGGCTCACTCCTAACCCCCTCCAGTCGAAAAGTGAATTTTAAAAGCAGTTCATCAGGGAGCACACGGCACTCCATGTTAGAAGCTGCCTCCGAGGATGAGTTGTGGCCAACAGTTACTGTCCTCTTCCTCTCTCTCCACTAGCATTTATTTCATCTTGTCCTATACTCTATATAGTTAGATATTTACAAAAGAGTTTGTCCATTCCTTGAGGGCATGAACTATATATTGTTTATTTTTACAACCCCAGAACACGCCACAGTGCTTGGCATGTATTTGGGGCTCTCTGATGATTGAAAGAATCATGAGAGGCAGCAGAGCTCATTTGGAGAAAATATTCTGTTTCATCATTGTTGGAATAAATTTTCCTCCTTCAATCTATTTTGTTCTAATTTCCTGACGAATTTTCGGTAGCTTTCCTTTTAGGAACTTGAGCACAGCAATAAGAATTCAATATGGCGGCAGAAATCTTCAAGGCAAATGGAGGAACTCAGTTTTATGGTCTCCTTAGTAGGTCTCTACCTTTTAAAAATCTAATAAAATGTATAAAGTTAGTTGTAATTCTCAGACTTACACTTTGGCAAAGAGTTATACAGCTAGTTCTACTCAGGTAACAAGTTCAAAACCTACTAGGTCAATATAAAGTCTTATAATATATTGTCATGGGAAATGCATCTTTGAGAAATATCCTTGAGCAACCCTAACGTGTCTTTTTCTTTTTTAAATAACAGAACGTTAAGGGAAATTAAAAATTGGTAGTTTAGAAAGAGCTTCTATAAATTCAATTTAATGCTGAAGTTATCATGTAATTAACAGATGTTTCTTTTTTTGAAAAGATAACTGATTTTTTTATTATACTTTAAGTTCTAGGGTACATGTGCACAACATGCAGGTTTGTTACATATGTATACATGGAACAACCATAATGTGTCTTAAGCAGTATCTTACAATAAACATTTTCTGAGGCAATCTGCATATCGGCTTCACCTTTCTGATTAGTGCTACCGAGGGGTATAATGAATGGGTACTGGAGGTGCTTCCTTTACAAATTACAGTGAATTTTTTAAAAATAACATACACCTCAGATATTATATCATACCTTTACTGAATGTGAGTTTCTGAAATTCAAAAGAATGAAGCAGAATATTCCTAAAACACATAGCACAATATAAGCTCCTAATGGTCACCTGCAAGACCTAAATAAGTTTCATCAGCAGTTATCCCAAAAGAGTATTGAAGATTTACTGGGCATACTTGGATCAGACAGGTCCATTCTTTGTCATGAGTTAGCAATTAATGAAGAGCTGCCAAAGCCAAGATACCTTGGCAGCTGTCTCACTGTAAAGGCTAGAAAGGCAGTGGATGGTGCCAAGGACTATGGTTCCCACACAGTGGAACTCAGTACACATCAGTGACTACCTGGGTTGACATTAACAGAAAGTAGTTGAAACATGAGCCCAACTAAAGGTACCCCAATATAAATGAGTAGAATAAAGCCTATTCCAGCAAGATAGTAATGGATGACACATTCAAGTCTACTTAATATCTGCCAGGATCATAGAAAACAAAATTAATCTTTTGAATGACATTTGTTGGAAGGGGTATGTAGAAGGTATAAAATACCTTCTCCTTTCCCTAGTTCAAGAAGGCTTTACACAGTAGCTAAGACAGAAACACTGCTTCCAAGTAGGAGTTGTGGGAAAGGATCAAAAATAAAAGGTTAGTGGAGAGAAAGATACTTAAGGTAACACATAAATAGAACAATATCTTTGCCAGTAACCAACAATTTTTTTAAAAGTAAATTTTTAAAAATCCAAAGTTTTACCTCTTTTTTGTAATAATATTTGAGAAACTGATAACTAAATTGCAATGTGACATAGAAAATCTAATGAGATAAAAGTAATTAAATAGTGGATATTTTATACATTTTATAAATTATTTTTTAAAACACCAGTGGATAAGAGAGTGATTCATAAACAAGGAATACCAGTCTTTAAGGTAATGAGAAAATTTCATTTTAAGTCTTAGGTCTGAAGTATTAACATTAGTAACAATAACTTAACTACACAATAGATAAAACCTTGATATCTATGTATTTGCATGTATGTATACACATAGAACTGTGTGTACAAATGTACTTGTGTGTGTGTGTGTGTGTGTATATATATATATATATTCCCACATACATAATCATAAAACATAGTTGCTTGGAGAAATATTCAAATCAAGGGACAAAGTGACAAATCTCTTTTGCAGAAATTATTTGTTACCATTTCCTAAATACATACTCAATAAAGAAAATACGTTATTAAATACAATATGTTTATTAACATTTCCAAGATTGCTCCAGGTATAAATTCTCTCTCTGGGCTGAAGCATTTTTTAGTTGCTCATCATGAACAATCATTCAGTTATGCAGAAAAGAAGGTTTTGTGAAAAATATGCCCAGTCCTTTGTTATGGCTATAATCGTCAACAATTTAAGAGTATCCACTGTTGCTGGATCATTCTCTGCTTCATGAAAATAGGAGAGGCAAAGGCGGAAGTCTGTCTTTAAGGTGATGGTATCCATCTGTCTATGTATTTCTATTTATCTATCTATTATTCTAGCTGTAATTCCAAACATTACCTAATCCAGCATTCCTAAGCTTTTTTGTGCCATAGACTCCTTTGACAGTCTGGTGAGATCTGTGGATAATTTCTGAGAAAAAAATATGTTTAATGTATATAGTAAAATACAGAGAATTACAGAGAAATCAATTATATCTAAATATATTTTAAGTTTTCAAATTTGAAGGTATTGTTTACCTTTAAAATTTTAAAGATATTGTCCTATTATGTGTTACCCTAACTATCTTTTTCTACCCTTTATTTTTGATCCTTTGCCACAAGTCTTAAGTAAAATCTACATTTCTTTAACCTGTTACACATCAATATCTAGCAGTTGATTTAATAACTACCATAATTTAAAAATAGAGATGAGATGAGCATAAATGACATTTGCGAGATCTACAACACCTATAACGTGCTGTAAAAATGTGTGACTTCTATTGGTGACAAATTCGCAGGTATTGCTAAAACTAATGTGGTTTGTTGCCTTATTCCTAATTGAAAGAAATGTTCAATTTCAGTGAGAGATTATTGAAAAGAAAGATGTAATTTTTTCCCCATCCATGCTCAGGGACTCCTGTATCTTAAAAATCTTTTAATGTGGTCTTACAGTACAGACATACAAGTCTTCAACAGTCTGATTTGGATAAAGCAATAGTGATATATATATTCCTTGTTTAGGAATAAAATGTGTCTACATCTCCTTCTTCTGTTATTGATACGACTTACGTAAATCTTTACAATGCTGAACTTAAACAGAAAAAGCAATGCTTAAAGTTACACATTTTAAGATAATTCATGAAATTGTCAAGGACAACAGTAAAGCAATGAATTGTTTGTAGACCTCGTGACACACAGAGAGAATATTAGAGAATTAAATGATAAAGGAATAAAAGAAAAGGGGCTTTGATATATATGGATATTTTAATGGACTAGGGAAGGCCCAAATTAAATGATGATTATGCAGTGGTCTGGAGATTTCACATACAAAGATATTCACTACCCAGTGTTTCCAAATGTTGTTCTGTGGCTGCAGATCTGGGATTGTGCAGTGTGGACTACAGAACTAGATGTAGAAAGAGTCTGAAAAAGCTGGAGTGAAACAGATGTCTGAAAGAATAGAAGGAAAGCATTGTTCAGGAGCTTAGCTTGAGAGGACAGTGGGGAGAATTAGTAGAATCAAGTTGGTGATGGTAAGGAGTGGAGTTCAGCATGAGAGAAAAAGAAGTCTGAAAACCCGAAACAAAATTGATGTTTCCCATTTCCTGGACATCAGTACCCACTGTCCTCTGGGTAGCAGTTGAGGCTTTATAATGCATTCCTTACTTCCAAGCAAAACTATTCATTATTTCCTAAATATACTCATGTACTTTCCCATCAGCATTACCTTTTTAATGCTCTTCATTTAGTCTGGAATTTACTTTTCATTTCTACTTATAAAAATCTCACTCATTCTTCAAGGTGCAGCTGAAAAGTCAACTTTTTGAAGTATCTTCTAATCAATAATGTTCAGTTAGAATAAATCTCTGCTCATCCAACTTTGGTCTTTCATCATAGGACTTACTATACTATGTCTTTTCATTGAGTTTGTCATATAAATAACTCATTAGAATGTCTTGATCTTTATAGCAAATATCTTCTGTTCCTCATGTTTGGTGTTCCTGCAGCACTGAGTATTATACCAAGACAATAGGTACCCAATAAATGTTTATGTACTATCAGTGACATCTCATCAACATGAACTGAATCAAATGATTCTGCACCATTCATAGAGCCCTGTTGTTTCTGACAAATAGAAATGTCCAGGATAAAGACATAAACAGCTACTCATTAGATGTTAGCTCCAGAAATGACCTTGCCAGCCATGTCTCCTTTGTTGTGTTTGGATGATGACAAAATTAGAGTTCAGAAACATGTTCACTTGTTACCCAAGATCACAGAACCAAAACAATGATGCAAATTTCCCAATACCCAGTCCACTGATCTTTTTTGTTTCACCACAAAATCTATTAAGAAGAGAAGATAATAGAAACTCTGGATTGAAATGCCATAATTTCTACCACATTAAATTTAGCTTTTAGGGAGTTTGAGTCATGCTCTTTTATTTAGTAGCTACAAATTTAAAGTAAGGGGAACAATGGAGTACTATTCAGCCATAAAAAGAATGAGATCCTGTCATTTGCAAGAACGTGGATGGAACTGGAGGTCATTATGTTAAGTGAAATAAGCCAAGCACAGAAAAACAGACTTTGCCTGTTTTCACTTATTTTCAGGAGCTAGAAATTAAAACAATTGAACTTATGGAGATAGGGAACAGAATGATGGTTGCCAGGGGCTGGGAAGGGTAGTGGGTGGGGTGGGGGGGAAGGAAGTGGAGATGGTTAATGGGTACAAAAAAATAGTTAGAAAGAATGAATAAGATCTAGTATGTGATAGCACAACAGGGTGACTATAGTCAATAATAATTTAATTGTACATTTAAAAATAACTAAAGGAGTAGAATTGGATTGTTTATAGCAGAGAGGGTAAATGTTTGAGGCAATGGATACCCCCATTTACCCTGATGTGATCCTTATGTATTGTATGCCTGTATCAAAATATCTTATGTACCCCATAAGTATATACACATACTATGTATGCATAAAAATTAAAAATAAAAAAATGGAAAAATAAACAATATGGTAAATAATATGTGACAGGAAGAACTGGGACAATCTTGAGCTTGAAGGTGAAAGATACAAATGAAAAAGCTATAAAGAGTTGAAGAAGGCAAAAGAAGCAATGTGGAGGCAGAAGATAGAGAAAGGATGAAGAAAAAAGGAGAAGCTGACATGTCTCTCTGATGTCTCCCATCATCACTGTGATTCTTTCATTTCCTCAGACCAAAAGCCTTGGAGTCATCCCTAATTATTTCTTACCACCTAATCAGCAAATCTTGTTGGCTCTACCCTTAACATCCATTCAAATTTGACCATCTCTCACCATCCCCACAATCATCTCTTAACTAAATTTTTGCAATATCTACCTAAATTATATGCAATTTTGTCTTTGCAATCTATTCTTATAGTAATTAAGATAACCTATTAAATGTTTGTGAGATCACGTAATTTCTCTGTTCAAAGCTCTCCAATGGCTCTCCATCGGCGTCAAGGTAAGTCAATGTCCCTTTAACTCTCCAATCTCAACTCCTACTATCATGCTCACTCACTCTATTCCAGCCACATTGGCCTCCTCTCTATCCTCTCTAATCCAGATCCACTACTACCTCTAGTCCTTTGAATTTTCTCTTTCGAGGCAAGGAAGAGCCTGGCTGATTCCATATGGCTATTTCAAAATTCTAGTTCTCAGTATGATCTTCCCTGGCCACATACCTAGATTGAACGCCCCTTCTCATGATTCATCTGCCTGCCCATGCTTTCTTTTTTCTCCTTAGGTTTTGGCACTAAATAATTTACTCAGTTATCTTGTGCATAGTCTGATGCTCAAGTAAAATGTTAGCTTAATGAGAGATTTTTGCCTTTTCCATTTTTTTTTTTTTTGGATCACTGATACATCCCCAGTGCCTGGAACACTGACTGATATGCAGTAGGTGCTGAACAAATATTTGTTGAATAAGTTAATGAATAAATGTGCAAATCATGTTCTGTTTCCAAGGCCACCACCGAAATTTCTGTCAACACCTTTGTCCTTAGGGGCACTAATTTCTACCACCACATCTTCAAGTGGCCTTGCGCACTCTGTTTTATGGATTTCTCCAATGCATATCCACCTACAGAGTGGTGAGATCATCAGACCAAGGGAAATATGATGCTTTCTACAAATAACAAGTCTTTTCTTGACATATTCTTACTCATATCCTTGATATATTCTTACAGAGTGATTCCCAATGTTACATAGAGAAGTGCAGAGAAGCCCAGATTACCTGGTTGTCACCTGTCTCCATATGACTGTTTGGATAGGAACAGAATAAGGATGTGTTAGGGGGAAACTCTCCATCTCTCTCCAGAACCACACACTTCACCTAGAGTTGGCCTCTCTTCCTGGACTAAGAGGAATTTCATTTTTGTAAAAATTTTATAAAATAGGTAAGATAATAAATTCATTGAAATAGTGATAACTAAACAGAATAATCTCATTAAGATTATGGGATTGAACTAAAGATGAGAATTCACAATTGAAAATCAGAAACAGCCTCTCATAAGGAAGACATATTAAGCCTTGCTCTTAGATAAAGGAAAACTATACCCACACTCTAAACCCATTTAATACCAAGCAAATTCTCCAAAGGATAGTTGCAATTTTTTTTTTTTAGAGATAGATTAGACAACTTTCTACTGACTAAAGAACTACCTACTTGGTCAGCGGAATTTATCAAGCATACCAAATTGCCAGATTATGCATAAAAAGAAGTATATGTGCAAGGAAAAGGGACCAGAGTCACATATTTTGACTCTGAGAGAGGCCACTGTTCTCCAGACCGAAAGATTGCTAAAGCCATGATTGGCAGGTACCAAATCCTTTGACTACCAAGAAACCAGAATAAAGGGTTTGGCCAAAACTGGAGAATAAACTAAGAAAATCTCCAGAAAGGACAGAAACTACATCTAGAAGTCAGAAGTCATTCTTTTAAGCCTTTGGAACTTTCTGTATTTTACCTTTCCCCTAGTCTTTACTGCTTACTTTGTCAGTATTTTCCATGATCATGAATTTTATTCATTTTGTCTATTTTATTATACAAATTCATACAGTTTTAAATCATATGTGGAATAAAGCAAAAAAGCTGGCTAGCTAAATATAGTAGATGTACATGTATAAAGACATATTATTCATATTTTACAGATGAGGAAACTGAAACTCAGAGAATTCAAATGAATATGTCCAAGGTAACATATCTCACGAAATTCTGGAGCTGAGACACATATGAGGATCATTCAACCCATGTCCCCTCTACCAAACCACACTTCCTTTCTGTGATATGCCATCAAACAAGTGTAATGCTTTGTCCAAAATGCTGATATAGTATAAAACATATTACCTTGTATTGTGTTTGCTTGCACAAGGCTGTTCCCCCAGCTATGGTACGAACTCTTCAAGTTTTCGTATGTAAACATGGAGTGATCAGTCAGATTTGCGTGTCTGCACACAGCCCTGTGATAAGCCCAGTGCCAGCAAAGCAATATTCATCCTGGCTAGAAGCACGGTCATGTGAGTGCACACACATTCACGTGAGCCTCAGTCTCTCCTAGTGCTCTGCCCTCTACCCATTTCTGGCTCTCATCCAAGGTCGTTAATGTGCACACCAGGCTATTGTCCAAAGTAGTGTGTTGGACATGAATGTAGGATTTGGGGCTGACTCTCTTGTCATGGTGCAGTACCAATCATATAGTAGATTTTTAGTACGAGAAGTTGAATTACTTAAAATGATTACAATGTTAAAATGAGGGATCAATGAGTTGTACATGGACATTTATATTATATTCATTTTTTTTCTGGCCATAGTAACATTCTTAGCAACATTTAATCTATAATGACTTTGTGAACTCTCTTTAGAATCCATTTGCCTCAGGAGGTTTCCCACCACAACCATTCAAGACAAGTGAGGGAGGCTTCAAGAAACCCGCTCAGAGACCTCAACATGCAACCCCTAGAATTTGGAGGGCACAGAGCCTGGAGACTGACTGCAGTCTGGAAAGAGTCCAAATGTGCAAGGCTTGCAGGAGTTATTGCCTTTTATGGTCGAGGAGAAGAAAGGGCTATGGTGAGAGCAGACAGCACTGCCAGAGTTTATGGGACAAAAGAGCCAAATGGTTCCTTTTAGTCAGAATGGATGCCAGGGAAAGTAGCAGAACTCGAGTTGCCATCAAAGGGCCATGCCCGAGTGGCCATCCTTCAGAGTATGATGACTCCAACAGAAAGAATCAGGTCCTCGGATCAGCCAGAGGGTGCATCTCCTCTGCCAGGGAACGAGACTATAATAGGGGTCTCCAAGGAGCCCCCAAAGTATCTCATTTGCCACCCAGAAGGCTATGATATCATATGAATGACTACTACTAATTAAGACTATTACTCCTCCTTCCCCTTCTCTCCCTCACCTCATCCTGAGCTTGAAAAGTACGCAAAACAGTAAACACAGAAAGCAAAGACAGACTGCACATCCTTTTTCCCCACTGCAGGTTTCTGAAACTGAGTGGAGCTGTGAGTCATGGGGCAGAGATAGGGAGAAGATCTAAACTGAATGAGAGGTTAAATATTTAACATTCCAGACACTGGCCTTCCAAGTTGTATACTCTTTCTGCACATTGTGCTTACTCACAGCAGCTTCCTGTTTTTATAAATACCTATTATACAGTATATATGTCAGACCACATAGGATAGAGCTTAGGAGCTCTGGCTTATGGAAACAGAGACCCAAACAAGTTACTTAACCTCTCTAAACCCCAGTTTCCTCACATGCAGAAAAAGAATAACAATAACAGTACTTGATCAGGTTATTGTGAAAAATGAATGTGATAATATATGAGATGCAGTAAACAATTCATGCATTTAATTGATATTTATGGACTACATTAGTTTCCCAGGGCTGCTATCACAAGTACCATAAGCTCGGTGGCTTAGAACAACAGCAATTTATTGTGTCATTTTTCTGGAGGTCAAAAGTCTGAAATCAAGGTATTGGCAGGGCCATGCTCCCTCTGAAGGTGATAGGGAAGGATGTGTCAAAAACTTCTTCCTAGCTCCTTACAGTTTCTTGGCTTGGGGTGGCATAGCTCCCATCTTCACATGGCGCCCTCCCTGTGTGTCTCTATCTTCACTTGGCCATCCTCTTATCCAGTCACACTGGATTAGGAGCCCATCCTACTCCAGTATGACTTCACCTTCACTAATTACATCTGCAACAACCCTATTTCCAAATGAGGTCACACTCTGAGGTACTAGGGATTAGGACCTCAATATATAAATTTTGGGGCTACGTAATTCAGCCCATAACACCTATTAGGCGTTAAACACTTCTAGTTACTGGCAGAACAGCAGTGAACAAACTGTACTTGGGGCATCTGTGTTCTAGTTGGGAAACTCACACAGTAAATGCACACATAAACCAATAAGATAATTTCAGAAATAGATAAGAACACTGAAGAAAGTAACATAATGGATTAGACCAGTGGTTCTGAAACTTTTTGGTCTCAGGATCCATTTACCTCTTGGACCCCAGGTTTGTGGCTATGTATAAAATGGTCAATATTTACCACTTTAGAAATATACCCCATTTTATTCATTGTTTCAAATTTTAAAATTTGTGGCACATGTTTAATGCTTTGCATGGAAACACCAAGTTTAATACCAAAAAAGCTAAATAAATGTATGCTCATAAAAATCAAAAATTTTAGTGTGAACAGCTATAATTCAAAAAACATTTTTATACTGTTACAGAATGTTGGTTCCAGTGCTCACTCAAAAATCATGCTAGTCAAACCACACCTAGCTGAATACCTAAGCACTGTGTACATACTGGTAAATAATTTATTGCCACTTACCTCTAAATTTGTAGTTCTCAGGCTAGCTGCACCTTAGAATCACCTGGGCAGCTTAAACAAACTTGATGACCAGGCACCACCCCAAACCATTTAAATATTTGATCAGAGTTCTGCTGAGTATTAGTGTTACTTTTTTTATTTCATGATAGATATTTAAGCTACAATAGCTAGGAAGAATCAAAATCAAATGGACACAACTATTATACAGGTAGGTGACTCTAAGCCAGGACTGAGAACTACTGGTCTAGTTGAGATGAATATGAGCTCAGAGGCAGAGATTAGTAAAAATCAACCTCTCTCTCAAATATTTTAAGAGTCCTCAGCCTGACCTTGCTTTACTCCAGGTCCATCAAATCATTTGGATCCAACATAAATAGGATCAAGAATGCGTACATTACATTAATTCCACCTGTATATAGATGGCCAAGTAATTTCAATGCTGGAAGGAAAAGTTCAGCTCTTGCTACCTTGAAAAATGCCCAACAATCTGTCCTGCAAAAAGGTTGAAATGTCAAATTACGTTGCTTCCTACAAAAGCGAATTAGAGTGTGACCTCAAATGTTAATAGATTCAGATCTTTCTTCTACCCTCAGAAGGTCAAGTATTCACAACAGCCATAAAATCTGCACGAATCTACCCTCTCAGGATTTCTGAGTCTGTAGTAACAAATTATAAAACTAAAGAAAAAGAAATCCCCTATTGAAGGAAACTTATAGTCTAAGAAAAAGTAAGATTTTATGAAGATGCAGCTAACCAGAGAAAGATGTCATCAATAACAAATTAATACCAATTAATAAGTAACAATAGTTATATCAAGCTTTACAATTTATAAAACACTTTTGCACTTGTCACCTGATTCAATCCTTGTAATAGTTGTATTTGGTGACTATTACTTATATTTTCATTTTCTATAAAGGGAAATAGAGATTATAAGAGTTTAAGTGACTCATCCAATGTTAATGGCATAGCTAAGACCCAAACTCGGGTCTTTTTCAGGAAATCTTGAGTCTTTCAACTGCCTTTTCCTATATGTGGGAATGTGTCAGTGTTTCTTGAACATGTTTTCCTGTTAGATATTACTAGGTAAGAAAGAAAAACTTTCTTACCACACTAAGTAAATGCAAAAATCTATTTTAAATTTTATCAATACATTATACCACTTATAAATCAGAAAGATTTAATTCATTCACTAAAAGAGTGTTTTTCACCAGAGATTACTGGGCATTTTCTATTCTTCGTTATTATTAACAACAGTTAAAAACCAATAGTTACACAACAGAATCAGTTTGGGACAGAGTCCTTAAATACTAGATAGAATTCTTTTAAAACTTTTTTTTTGTTTCAATATTCTCTAAAGCAAGTCAAATACGCTGTAATAACTCTGACAACTAACCAAATAGACATGAATGCAATCATCTCCAGGAGGCAGTTCTAACTTAAGTAAAGAAACACAAGGCTAAAATAAAGAACTCTCCAGCTTTTCACCTAAAAATCCAATCTAGCAAAGAATGTAGTAATGGTAACTCACATAAAAGGCAAAAGTTTAAGTAATAGTGATGAATATGAGACCCAGTCCATGTCTCATTTTAAATAACATCTGTGGCTCTTTGTAATCAATAAAAATAATAGTATGATTCTCTTTACTCTGTGTTATTGTTTAGAAGCTAAAGGAGAAATAGCTGTCAGCATAACAAGGTACCAGGGAGACTGTCCTCAGATTTTACAAAATCAAACAGCCAAAGCAAGGCTGGACGGAACAAGAGGCCAGGGGCCACAGAAAAACAGATGCCTTGGCATGAAGGCAGCCTATGAATGTTGGTTTCCCAGGATTTTGATAGCGGGAGTGTTTATCTTATTGAAAGCAGAGTCTAATTGAATAAAAGAGTTTTTTTAAATAGTGAGCCATTAATTAGGCGGCATGGGGTAAAGCACAGGCTTTAGTAATGTACAAGGCTTCTGGGAGCCACAGACTATGCTCATCGATTCTGTCAGAGCGCCAGAGGAATAAGAGAGCCGAATGTTTTGCCTCTTCTGGAAACCTACCTGATACATTTGGAAGTGGCTTCCTCATGCATTGCCTCTCTTCAAATCATCCCATAATTACTCTGGCACTGTAAGCTGCGAACTTGGCGGGCTCTGAGAGATATCAGATGTTTTTCTCATGCTTGCTAAACCTCTCTCAGACAAATTTTGCATTGTTTTTTGTGTCAGTTTTATCGTGGAACATCGTGTTGCCATCTGGGAAGAAAAACAACATGGCAGAGGAGCAGCTGGTGAATGGCAATGGCCAAATAAACATTGGCAGGCGCCTGCCATTAGGTGAGATAAGAGGGATGGGCAGCCGCCAACGCCAACGAGCCCTCACCATTGGAACATCTCTCACTGTCCTCTTCTCTTATCTTCATTCAAATTCATGGCAATTTTTTATTCTGAGGCTTAAGCTCTCCAAGTGTCAGGTGTCGGGCCTTCCCTCCTCTGTCCTGGAGGAAGAGGATAGATCTGTAAAATCCTGGCTGATTGAATTTCTCTCCCTGGGCAGGACAATGGGCAAGGGGAAGCATCTGATACCTTAACAGAAGGACTCCCTTTTGGGATGAGAAGATACCAAACCTTTACCAAGCTTTCCAACCAATTTGTTGATCTTTTTCTTTTCTCCCTCATACCTAACACCATCAGTATTCATGGATTTTAAACTCTTAAATCTTTTAAGGACTCCACGTGTTAAACAAATAAAAATAATATAAACTTGCCATTGATAGCAGGGCAACAAGAGAAGGTAAATTACATCAGATTAACAAAATTATACCCCATACTTCTTTGTTTCTAAGATATAATTTTTCCGTCGTAACATTTCTAAAAGTGAGTTGCACAGAATAGATGTCTAAAAAAAATTTGACAACATTCAGACAGCGGAATGAATTGTGAAGTGCCAACAGTCCTCACTGCCTGCACATGTGCAAACTAGTGAACACTTAAAGGTGAACATTTGTTCAACTACTTCCGTTGCATTATTTCTATTGGTGGAGCCAACATAGTTGAGTTTTTAACTTAAGTTTGGATCCCAAGTTTTGTCTTAAAATATCAAAAAAGATTACATTGTGATATAGTATTAATTCCTTTAAATTGTTCAGTTTATAGAAATTTGCTTCATAAAAGGCCATGTAATCAAAGGCAATAAGAATTGTGGAATCAATCAAAATAATTCAAAACTTTCTATGTTAGTAGGCATTGGCATGATGAGTACATGTGTCCTGGAGACTGACCCTCGACATAAAACATCTGTCTGACAAAGCCTTCCAACTGATTTTCAACATATAATTCAATTAAGGGGAAAATTCTCTCTCCCTGCCCCACTGCCTGTGTGTGCGTGTATGTGTGTGTGTGCACCTGTGCGTGTATGTGTGTGTGTGTGCATGTGTGTGTGTGTGTGAATTTAACCAAAAAAGAAATGGAAAAAAATGAAGTTACAGGAAAGAGGAGCAGTACTGTACACCACCATGTCATTTATAAAGGCCAGTGGCTGAGAACCTTTGAATGCTAAAGTGTAAAAAGCTTAAACAAATATTTGGATTATGATCATTACAAAAATGACATCAAATTATATGCATTATTAGTTATTTTTTAAATGCACAAAACTGATGTACAGATAATGGATTGTTTCTTTCATGACCAAAAAAATCATTGATGATGTTACAGGAATTATGCTAACTTTCAGAATGGTTGAGAATCATCTAATTCATCCCTTTATTTTAAAAACTAAGAAATCTGGTCCTAAGATTCCACACCTCATTTGGGGCAGAACTCAAACAGAATTTATCAGCAAAGCAAGGGGACTTCTGAAAAAGGAGAATGTGAAATCATAAAATTGAATGCCTTGTCTCAGGGACAGGTCAAATTAGGACCAGGCAGTAACTCTCCTTAAACAACATTAGAACAAATTCTCCAAAAAAAAATCCCTGGAACTAAATTAATCCTCCTTTATACATCTATGATTAAACACAATCAAGATGATTGTTGAGGAAAATCTAAGAGAAAATAAATCATAAAGAAACTTTTTAAAAGCCTTTTTAGATTCATTTCAACATTACTCATGAAAAAGTCAATCACTCTGAATGTTTCAATAAATTATAATTAATGTGCAGCGAACTTCTTTCAACAATATTCTATTCATTCTTTTGACATCTGTCAGGTAAGTGCATGACAATGGTTCTTACTTTGATTTGATCTCCAGTGAGATTAATCGTATTAGTCTCTTGTTATACTTTTAATTTAGAAAATTTGAGATTATAATCCATTAGTCTATGGTCCATAATCTCTCAATTTAATAAGGTTTTACCTATAGACCAGTCTTAATCAACATTTATAAGACATTTTGTTCTAAAGTAGCAGGAAAATATTTTCCAAAATAAACCCATAATTGTCACAAAGAAGCTACAAGCCTTTTCTTTTCTAAGCTCGAGCATTTATTATGTATGTAAACACCAGATAGACTCTGTTGTGTAATGATGCCAAGAAAGGTGAGTCTTGGCCCCATTTTACTGATGAAGAAAGAAATTGAAGTCCAGAAATGGTAAATAGCTTCCCCAAGGTCAAGCAGCTCAAAAACTTGGAGAATCTGACCCATAGGCCTGTGACTTTAACCACTATGCTGTAATAGAAGGTGTTAAATAATCACCAAATTAGCAGACTATAACTAGATATTGTAACTTTTAAGTCAGTTACAGTAATCAGTTAGGCTTCCTGGAAGAGCTTGAAAATGATATAAGCTTGAAGGATAAATAAACTTGGTAAAGGTAGATGTTGTCAAAGTAAATAAATAAATAAATACAACTGAAAAGAAACTAAAAATAAAAGGACAACAAGGAAGGGAAACTCAGAAGGGAATAGTTGAAATTTTGCAGAAGGCCTTCAAGAGAAAAAATTTGAGTTAGAATTAAATGCTGGCCAAGGCAGTGCAAATTAATTTGTAAACGATGGATGTCCCAGTTGGAAGGCTTCCAGAGAGACACAGCAGTATGGGCAGGAAGTAGCCTCCCTGTGATGAGTAAGTCACCACCTTCCTGTGAAGGGTAATAGCCTCACCTCTCAGTGGGGCTCAGATGACAAAATGCAAGAAGGTGACAAAGCTAATATGATCATTGCATGATGAATTAGAACATATAATAACATGGAGATTTTTCACCCCCAAAGATAACATCTTTTCACTTAATAGAATCAATGAAGAAAGAAGCATATCTTTTCACCATTGCAAATCACCCAGAGCAGCTTCGCCTCTGCAGTGTTGAGATGAGGTGATTTTGAGATAATTACAAGTTAGTCTTCTGATCAAGCAGAAAGTCCCTGTTAGCAACAACAGTTCATAAAAATAGAATAAAATATAACCATTAAATAGTAAATGTCTTAGTCTGTTTGTGTAGCGATAACAAAATACCTAAGATTAGGCAATTTTCAAACAATAGAAATTTGTTTCTCACAGTTCTAGAGGCTACAAGTACAAAATCAAGGTGCTAGCAGGTTCAGTGTCTGGTTATAACTGGGTCTCTGCCTCCAAGATGGTGTTTTGAATGCTGTGTTCTCTGGAAGGGATGGTTGTTGTGTTTTCACATGGCAGAAGAGATGGAAAGACAAAAAACGGCCTAGCTGTTACAGTTATCTTCAGCCCTTTTATCAGGCGCTTTTCCCATCCATGAAGTTGGCACCATCGTGGCCTTAAGGCCCTGCCTTTTAATACTGTTGCTTTGCGGATTAAGTTTCAACATGAATTGTGGAGGGACACAAACATTCAAACCATAACACCAAACATTCCAAGAATTTAACAATAGGGCTATGTAAGTTAAAGTCCAGGCTTTGAAGGGCCCAGATTCAAGATTCTGAGGCAGGAAAATCTTGTCATATTAACATCGGCAAAAAGGGCACATGGAGTTTGAAAATATAAGCAAAGTATCGAGAGTAGAAATCAAAAACGATTCTAACATTGCCTACTTTCAAATAGCCAGGCCTGGGATAAGGGGAAGCAGGTATTGAGGGTGTGAGTTCCTGCCAGTGAGTGTGCATAGATGGGAACCCTGAAGCCTACAGGGTCTGTATAAATATGGAAGGCAATTTATTATGACCTCTAAATGGAGTGCTGGCATGCAATGTCAAGTGCATGAGACCCTCCAAGTGGGAATCCTTTGGGAAAGCAAGTGCTAGGAGCTAAGAAGTTCAACCTGACAATGAACTCCTTAAAAAAATGAGATGATATCTTCTTTATATTAAAATCCTTAGAAGCAAGCACAATTCTCAGTACATATTAAGAGTTCAATAAACATTTGATAAATAAACAGAGGCATGATGTCCCTTCTATGATGCTGTGAGCTGTAGTAGACACAGAAGCAACCTTGCACAGGGATAAAATAGGATCACTTAGGAGATGTTATCTGAGAAGCACAGGAGTCTCCTTCTTTCGCTGACCTCCAGAAGCCCTCATGGCAGGCTCAGATGTGATCACGAGAGGGTAATTTCTCAGCATTAAGTATCACCCCTCTCCCTGCCAAATGGCCCTGGAAACGGCAAGTTCATGAAGTGCTAATATCTAACTGATGTCATTCTCTGAAACATGAGTGGCATTGATAGCCTGATTTGGAGATGTCAAAAACAAGTAAAGAAAAAAAAAGAAAGAAAGAAAAGAAAAAGAAATGTGCAAAAAAAGAAGCTGCTCCCTTAGCAATTTGCCTTGAACTCCAAATGGAAAAGACCCCTCATCCTTTGAAACACATAGGCACTGCCATACTTCAAAGCATTAGGCAATGTTTGGATTCTCTGCCTCTATGTCCCTCCTTTCTTTCTCTCTACTTCCTTTCAACTATTCAGTAACCTCAGTTCCAGGAAAGCCCATGTGTACAGGCAGTCTCCTCTGAGTAAAAACAGACCCACTGTGGTACATCAGCCTCCTGGCACCAGGTCATTCTATGCCCTTTCATTCAAGCTACCTACCATGTACTTACCCTACCAAATATCAAAGTATATTAAATAGCTACAATAGCTACAATTCTATGGATCTTGATAAATACAGACAGAAAAAAGGTCAATAGATGGCTTAGAAATAAACATTAGCATTTATTTTAAAAGATATATATATAGTAAATGTGATATATATAGTAAATGTGATAAATGTGTTTTCTTATATAAGAAAACACCTTGAAACAAAATTTTATGATAGACATCTAATTTATTTGGCAGCTGTGCCTTAATTTTCCTTAGGGCAAACAGTGTTCCCTCTTGGCTTAATTGTAGCTGCCTCCATTCCTCCAGTGGTGGACATTTGAGATCATTGTGACCAATCCCACATTCTACATCCCTATGCAGAATGACCATTTCAGAAATAGGCACATGGGCCATGCCTGAGACTCAGTTCAAGACGTTGTATTAAAACCACTGGGAAAGAGAATCCTCTTTACCCAGGGATGGCTGAGAAGGCTGAATTTCTGCCTGATCATTTTGCTTCCAGATAGAAAAAAATGTTGGCTTGAATGAGGTCAATCCAGAGGAAATCCGAGTTGTGACAACGGACAGATTCTGAGCCTGAATGATGCTATTAAGTCCTTCAACTCAGCTCTCTGTAAAGGCGGTTCTCCAGAGCCTTCAGTGACGTTATCCAATAAATTCTGATTTTTGTTAAGCTAGTTTGAAGTGGCTTTCTGTCTCTTGCAACTAAACAATATTAAAATTCAAAATAAGAAAAAAAGTAAACATTGCATAACAATGGTAATTTTCTGAATATATAAATTACTCATATAAATTGATAAGAATTTTGCCTCAAAAAGAAAATGAGCAATTTAATAAATGGATAAAATAGCTAGTTAAGAAAATTTAAAAATACACCATGTTAATCATCAAAGAAATTCAATTAAAGTGTATTTTACCTAAACCATTTTTTACCTATGAAGTTTACCCAAAAAGTTGTAATAATCATCCAAAATGGAAGTGAAGTTGAGGAAAAACAAGCAACTCTCAAAAACTGTTTATAGGAATATAAATCTGTGCAAATATTTTTACAAAACTAAATTGGCCAATATATAGAGACACTTCAACATGCTAACACTTTGTTACTATCATCCTACATTTAGAAATCTATCCTGGACGGGTGCGGTGGCTCACGCCTGTAATCCCAGCACTTTGGGAGGCCGAGGCAGGCGGAATGTGAGGTCAGCAGATCGAGACTATCCTGGCTAACATGGTGAAACCCCGTCTCTGCTAAAAAATACAAAAAATTAGCCAGGCGTGGTGGCAGGCGCCTGTAGTCCCAGCTACTGGGGAGGCTGAGGCAGGAGAATGGCATGAACCCAGGAGGCGGAGTTTGCGGTGAGCAGAGATCACGCCACTGCACTCCAGCCTGGGCAAGAGAGTGAGACTCCATCTCAAAAAAAAAAAAGAAAAGAAAAGAAAAGAAAGAAAGGAAAGAAATCTATCCTAAGAAATTATCTGAATCAGAGAGAAAATATTACATATAAGAAATTTCAAAAATCATGTAATTAAAATGACATTGACAAAAAGTTTTTTAATGCATAGTAAAATATTTTCATTATATCTCTAAATTATAAAGGCAATTTAAAAAACTTGTGTTTATAATATAACTGTAACTGAAAAATTTGATAAACATGGAGAAAAATGAAAGAAGAGACACCAAGTGTTCACTGTGGCTATCACTGTGTTGTTGTGTAGCATTTCTTTTCTTCTTACTACTTTCCTGAATTTTCCAAATTGCCTATAATAAGCATGATGTTGATAATCAACACGAATGTTTAAAATTCTTTCTAAAAAGTTACTTTCCCCTTTGTCCCATTTTCTCAGAAGTATATAGACTCTTTGAGGGTGCAGAATGTCACAGACTCAAAGGGTACACTAATTGGAAGGGATTTCGGAGGTGATGTGGATCAACATTTTCCCTAACACAGCTATCACATTCACAGCTTCTGTGACAGGTAGTCATTCATTTCCTATTTGCAGACCTGCAGTGAGAGTGGGAGCGGCAAGGCTCAGAGCCCTTTCATATTCAAGAATGCTTCTGGCTCTAGGTGATGAAAAGTTCCTCCTGATATTCACTCAGCATCTTATGCTGAATTTTCTTATGCTGACTCTTCTCTGGGTAACTTTAAGTCATTGATCCTAGTTCTTCTCTCTGGAGCAATAGAGATCATGTTGTAGGAAGATCTCGGCTTATCATCAGATCACAATTTGAATCTCCGCTGCACCACTGTATGTATGATGCTCTTGGACAGCAACTCTGAACCTCTGCTTCCTCACTTGTAAAATGGAGACAATGATACCCATCTGTTAGAGAAGTAAAAGAGAGTCCATGTATAATGTGCCTCTTGTAGTACACAGCAGAAGTTTATTGACTGTTAATTATCTGTCCTTCTATCCTGAGGGCTAGGCATGTTGCCCAAAATACATAAATCCAACATTTTTGTTGAATGAATGAATAGTTTTTTAAACAGCTGTGAATCCAAATAAGCAAACATTAATCTACCCGTGTTTCCCCATCCTATCTTTGAGAATGCTATGAAAGAATGTGAGGTGCTCTATGAAATTTAGGATACACTATATTTCAATGTTACCTTGCGTTACCAGACAAGGAAGAGATATGACTAGTTCAGCTACTGTTCTTCTTGAACTCATGTGTTGCTCTCAGTAATCATACTCCCCTCATAACCACTCATGGTTTTATTTACTTACCAGTCTAGTCAAGAATTATGCTTAGAATAGACATCAAGATCACTAGGATAGAGTTTTCAAAATCCTTTTCCTTTCCTTTTATTTTTCTTAATTTGATATTTTGGCAGGTTCTGTGTGAATTTCAATAAACTTTCAAGAAAAAAAGTGAAGCAACTAAAAAATAAGCTCTTCACGATAAGCAAAATGTAATCAAATTTTTGTGGATTTTTTCGCACTCAGGATATAATATATTAGGGCCTGAAGATAGTAACTTACTTAAAGCACACTGGTGCTCTCTGTTTCACCCTAGTACTTGTGATTTTAGTCCATCTTTAGGTTTTCAGTTCTACTCTTTGCAGGAGAGAGATAAGGCACTCAGAGCCAACAGCAGCAAACTGTGACTTTTGTTTTGTGTTAACTGTTGATATTGCATCTGCCACACATGGACAGTGGCTCTCACCTCCACTCCTTTTAGGATTTCTGGTAAGCCATCTCTCCTCTGGGCCAGCAATTTTTCCCAAATGGTTTATATTGGTTTCTGCCCATTTATCTTTGCTTATGTGACTCTGATTTCATTCTTTTAGGATAGGAACAGCTACAGTGATTTCATTTAATCTTCTCCTCCCTTTGTTTTTCCTCTGGATTGAAGCTAGATATAAAGTAGGAATTTTCCTGTTTTCCCAGAGCTGCATTTAAGATCAAAGTTGAAGACTAAAATATGCTAAGAACCCCCTCCATATTCTAATATATCAAACATCCCTAAAGAGTTTACTAAGAGGTTTTGCTTTTAAAAAAAAGCCTTATTACCAACAACTGCCACCTCTTCATGGACAATATAAGAAGAGAACTTAGAGAGTAGTGAGGAGGATCACCTTTATAAAGAGAAACTATTTCATGAGGGAAAAGGATAGTAGGTGATCGTGCTACCTAAAATCAAAGGAAGAAAGCGTCAAGAGAATTCATTTTAATAATAAGAGGTGACTACATAAAGGCAAGACGGGCAATTCATTTTTCAGTTGGCAATCTGTTTGGCCAGCATACCTGGGCTACCTGAGCCAAAGGAAAGAGGATTAGAGAGCATGGTGAGGTTGAGAGAAGAGGCAGCAATGAAGCTCTCTGACCCCATCATTTAACATTGCCTGAATAGATGACTTTCCTGAGAGCCAGTAGACACTAATAAATGTTGTTGAATTCTGACTGTCTTCTCAGACTTTACCAAGGGAACCGACCATCAGAAAAAGGGTCTTGGTGTTGTGGTGTGCAACTTTTGGAGGGGTTAAGGGAGTGGCAAAGATATAGCAAATTTCTCATCTTGGGAACCATGTACTAGGAAAGGAGGAACTTTGAAGACCCTCAGAAGAACCCATTTATGCAAGGACCAGCAACTGCATGTCTGCCACAGAGAGGGAACTCATGATGACATTGAGCCAAACAAGCAAGAACAACTAACCAAGTAGAGAACTCAACCTCATTACAAGCAGTTAAGTAGGGAGGCATTAGCCATTGTCCCTCTTCTATAATGCCTGAACATGATTTTGAGAGTTAAAAAAAAACAAAAACAAAAAACAAACCTCCTGGCCATAAGATGGAGGAAAGAGAAGTCAATTATTTACATAATAAAAGGGAAGAAAGAACGTTGAATTTAATTTAAAAATTTTGAAATGACAACACTAGAGTATTCTAATAACTGAAAGTGACTGGAACCTTCTGCAATCTTCCAACATTTTATTATTTTATAGACTAGAGGCAGCACAACTGCTAAGTGAATAGTCTGTGATTTCACCCACAAGGATCTGGGAAATAAGCACAAACAAAATAGTCAAGGGCTTAAAATTTAGCTGTGGGAAGTTTACTGCAGCTAAATAGAGAAAAAAACAGTTGATCTCAGGGGAAGCAAGTACATGGTAATGTAGGATGCAATAAAAAGCAGTGGCAAAGTAATTCACCACTACTGTTTGTCTCATCCAGTCACGCTGAGCAAAGGCAGCTGCAATGAGGGAATGGTCCTCTTTACTCCAGTATCTGGGAAATTCTGGGATTTTCAGCACAAAGACGCATCAGTTGAAGGGCGAAGTGACAGCGGATTCAGGGAGATTCGCTGGCTAATGGACAGGGGAATAAATTCTCCCCAGAACATTCCCCATTCCAACCACTGGAAATGGAGTCGCCCTTCAGATAATCTGTATGCCTGTTTCTTTTTTCCATTTTCAATTTATAATAACAATAACGACCTAGACATAGGACATTTCCTGGGCTTTAATGACTGTCTGAGGTTAATGGCCCTCAACTACACCTCAGGCCATCAACCCCTCCCAGCTGGTCATTAATCTCCAGGAAATATCCTGTTTCAGGGTCATTATTGTTTCAATACCAACTATACCTTAAAAGCTTTATGGATTCTGCAAATACAGATCTCTCACCAATAGAGGTTATAGAACCTGTTTAGAATTCTGAAATTATCTTGAGTTTGATCTGTCAGAGACATTTTCTTTAAAACTAAAATTGGCCCAAGAAAGCACTCAACTTTGTTTTTGTTTATCTACTTACATTTTCTCAGGAAAGAGATCTGCTAGATATTACAAAAAACTCAAGCAAAATTCATGACAATTGGTGGGGAGAAGGCCTACTTTAAAGGGAAGCACCTTCTATCCTGAACAATAGCATAACTCAGCCTTTGAAAACATATGTTATTTGTGAAAAGAGCTCTCTACAATGATGTATGTGCTTAAATGTCACCAGATTTTATTACATGCATAGAATTTTCTAAATGTATCTAATTCTAAAGTCTCTTTTTTCACTTTTATGAAATCTATACATTAATATTATTAAAACAAGCATTTCACCCACTACAGAATATCCCATAGGAGAAGAGGCTGAGACAAGAGTGAAATATAACTTTTGGACAGGGATGCTATTAGATTCCGATTCGGCAGCAAAGGGAATGATGGTTGTCCAGGAAAACATCGCAATGTAGAGATCTAGTATAGGCAAAGGAGGAGGACAGAGCAAAATCATGTTTGGAACCAAAGAAATCCAACAAATGGTAATAGTGGCATTCCCCGGTAAACAGGAAGATCACAGAAACATAGTGACTTGGCAGGCAGGGCCTTAAAGAGATGTGGAAGCCCTGGATGGGCCCCAGCTTTGGGGAAGAATTTAGAGTGAAAGATTTATGCAGGGAGGTTTTGACAAGAACAGTGTCTCAGTGCAGATTGGCCAGGACTACATTTGCAGGTCAGGGTTTCAGACCCTGAAACTGAAAATTAAGGTAGGACATTGGTCACAGGAATGAAGCACAAGCTCAGGTACCAGATCAAGAGCACAGAGTCAGTGAAAACAGGAAGGCAGGCTGTTTTCCTCTGCTCAAGCTGCTTTAACAGCATACCATAGACTAGGTGATCTGAACAAAAGAAATATGTTCCTCACAGTTCTGGGGGCTGGAAGTCCAAGGTCAAGATACCAGCCAATTCAGTTTCTGGTGAGGGCTCTCTTTCTGGTTTGCAGGCAGACAACCACCCTCTTCTCCCATGGGAGGGAGGGGAAGGAAGAGACAGAAAAAGAGAGGGAGAGGGAGAGGGAGGGAAAAGGAGGGAGAGGGAGGGAGAGAGAGAGAGAGAGAGGGAGAGAGATCTCCTGTATCTCTTTTTTTCCCATAGGTTATTGGGGAACAGGTGGTGTTTGGTTAACTGGGTAAGTTCTTTAGCGGTGATTTGTGAGATTTTGGTGCGCCCATCACCTCAGCAGTATACACTGCAGCATATTTGTAGTCTTTTATCCCTCACCCCCATCCCAACCTTGCCCCCAAGTCCCCAAAGTCCATTGTATCATTCTTATGCCTTTACGTCCTCATAGCTTAGCTCCCACATATCAGTGAGAACATACACTGTTTGGTTTTCCATTCCTGAGTTACTTCACTTAAAATAATAGTCTTCAATCTCTTCCAGGTCACTGTGAATGCCATTAATTCATTCCTTTTTATGGCTGAGTAGTATTCCATTGCATGTATACACCAGTTTCTTTATCCACTTGTTGATTGATGGGCATTTGGGTTGGTTCCATGATTTTGCAATTGCAAATTGAGCTGCTATAAACATGCATGTGCCAGTATCTTTTTCGTATAATGACTTCTTTTCCTCTGGGTAGATACCCAGTAATGGGATTGCTGGATCAAATGGTAGTTCTACTTTTAGTTCTTCAAGGAATCTCTACTGTTTTCCAGGGGGCTGTACTAGTCTACATTCCCACCAGCAGTGTAGAAGTGTTCCCTGATCACGACATCCATGCCAACATCTCCTGTTTTTTTAATTTTTTGATTATGGCCATTCTTGCAGGAGTAAGGTGGTATCGCATTGTGGTTTTGATTTGCATTTCCCTGATTATTAGTGATCTTGATCATTTTTTCATATGTTTGTTGGCCATTTGTATATCTTCTTTTGAGAGTTATCTATTCACGTTTTTAGCCGACTTTTTCATGGGATTGTTTGTTACTTTCTTGCTGATTTGTTTAAGTTTGTTGTAGATTCTGAATATTAGTCCTTTGTCAGATGTATAGATTGCGAAGATTTTCTCCCAGTCTGTGGGTTGTCTGTTTACTCTGCTGACTGTTCCTTTTGCCATGCAAAAGCTCTTTAGTTTAATTAAGTCCCAACTATTTATCTTTGTTTTTATTGCATTTGCTTTTGAGTTCTTGGTCATGAAATCCTTGCCTAAGCCAATCTCTAGAAGGGTTTTTCCAATGTTATCTTCTATAATTTTTATAGTTTCAGGTCTTAGATTTAAGTCCTTAATCCATCTTGAGTTGATTTTTATATAAGGCGAGAGATGAGGATCCAGTTTCACTCTCCTACATGTGGCTAGTCAATTATCCCAGCACCATTTGTTGAAAAGGGTGCCCTTTCCCCACATTATGTTTTTGTTTGCTCTGTCAAAGATCAGTTGGCTGTAAATATTTGAGCTTATTTCTGCGTTCTCTATTCCATTCTGCTGGTCTATGTGCCTATTTTTATACCAGTACCATGCCGTTTGGTGACTATGGCCTTACAGTATAGTTTAAAATCAGGTAGTGTGATGCCTCCAGATTTGTTCCTTCTCCTTAGTCTTGCTTTGGCTATGCGGGATCTTTTTTGGTTCCATATGAATTTTAGAATTGTTTTTTTCTAAATCTGTGAAGAATAATGGGAGTATTTTGAAGAGAATTGCTTGAAAATTGTGATTGCTTTTGACAGTATGGTCATTTACAATACTGATTCTACCCATCCATGAGTATGGGATGTGTTTCCATTTGTTTGTGTCATCTATGATTTCTTTCAGCAGTGTTTTGTAGTTTTACTTGTAGAAGTCTTTCACCTCCTTGGTTAGCTATATTCCTAAGTATTTTTTTTTTGCAGCTATTGTAAAGGGGGTTGAGTTCTTGATTTTATTCTCTGCTTGATTACTGTTGGTGTATAGAAGAGCTACTGATTTGTGTACATTAATTTTGTATCCTGAAACTTTGCTGAATTCTTTTATCAGTTCTAGGAGCTTTCTGGAGAAGTCTTTAGGGTTTTCAAGGCAAACGATCATATCATCAGCAAACAGTGACAGTTTGACTTCCTCTTTGCCAATTTGGATGCCCTTTATATTTTTCTCTTGTCTGCTTGCTCTGGCTAGGACTTCCAGTACTATGTTGAAGAGGAATGGTGAGAGTGGGCATCCTTGTCCTGCTCCATTTCTCAGGGGGAATGCTTTCAACTTTTCCCCATTCAGTATTAAGTTAGCTGGGGGTTTGTCATAGATGGCTTTTATTACATTGAGGTATGTCCCTTGTATGCTGATTTTGCTGAGAGTTTTAATCATATAGAGATCCTGGATTTTGTCATATGCTGCTTCTGCATCTATTGAGATGATCATGTGATTTTTATTTTTAATTCTGTTTATGTGGTGTATCATATTTATTGACTTGTGTATATTAAACCATCCCTGCATCCCTGGTATGAAACCCACTTGATCATGGTGGATTATCTTTTTTATATGTTGTTGGATTCAGTTAGCTAGTATTTTGTTAAGGGTTTCAGCATCTATGTTCATCAGGGATATCCATCTGAGTTTTCTTTTTTGGTTATGTCCTTTCCTGGTTTTGGTATTAGGGTGATGCTGGCATCATAGAATAAACTAGGGAGGGTTCCCTCTTTCTCTATCTTGTGGAATAGCATCAAAAGGATTGCTACCAATTCCCATTTGAATATCTGTTAGAATTCTGCTGTGAATCCACCTGGTCCTAGACTTTTTTTGTTGGTTTAATTACCATTTCAATCTCACTGCTTGTTATTGGTCTGTTCAGGGTATCTAATTCTTCCTGATTTAAGCTAGGAGGGTTGTATCTTGCCAGGAATTTTCCATCTCTTCTCGGTTTTCTAGTTTATGTGCATAAAGGTGTTCATAGTAGCCTTGAATGATCTTTTGTATTTCTGTGATGTCAGTTGTTATATCTCCCATTTCGTTTCTTATTGAGGTTATTTGGATTTTCTCTCTCCTTTTCTTGGTTAATCTTACTAATGATCTATCAACTTACCTTTTCAAAAAACCAGCTTTTCGTTTCATTTATCTTTTGTATTGTTTTTTGTTGTTGTTTCCATTTCATTTAGTTCTGCTCTGATTTTGGTTATTTCCTTTCTTCTGCTGAGTTTGAGTTTGATTTGTTCTTGTTTCTCTAGTTCCTTGAGGTATGACCTTAGATTGTCAGTTTGTGCTTTCAGTCTTTTCATGTAGGTGTTTAGGGCTGTGGACTTTCCTCTTAGGACTGCCTTTGCTGTATCGCAGAGGTTTTGATAGATTGTGTTACTATTGTTGTTCAGTTCGAAGAATTTTTTAAATTTCATTTTTGATCCAATCTTGATTTCATTTTTGATCCAATGCTCATTAAGGAGCAGGTTATTTAATTTCCATGTATTTGCATGGTTTTGAAGGTTCATTTTGGAGTTTATTTGCAGTTTTATTCCTCTGTGGTCTGAGACAGTGCTTGATGTAGTTTCAGTTTTTTTTTTTTTTTTTTTTTTTTGGAGACAGTTTTGCTCTTCTTGCCCAGGCTGGAGTGCAATGGCATGATCTTGGTTCACTGCAACCTCCGCCTCCCAGGTTCAAACGATTCTCCTGTCTCAGCCGCCTGAGTAGCTTGGATTACAGGCGCCCACCACTATGCCCGGCTAATTTTTGGTATTTTTAGTTGAGACAGGGTTTCACCATGTTGGCCAGGCTGGTCTCAAACTCCTGACCTCAGGTGATCCACCCGCCTCAGCCTCCCAAACTGTTAGGATTTCAGGCATGGCCGTGCCTGGCCATAATTTCAGTTTTCTTAAATTTATTGAGACTCATTTTGTGGCCTATCATATGATCTATCTTGAGAAAGTTCCATGCGCTGTTGAATAGAATGTGTATTCTGTGGTTGTTGCATGGAATGTTCTGTATACATCTGTTAAGTCCATTTGTTTCAAGGTATAGTTTAAATCCATTGTTTCTTTGTTGACTTTCTGTCTTGATTAACCTGTCTAGTGCTGTCAGTGGAATACTGAAGTCCCCCACTATTATTGTGTTGCTGTCTACCTCATTGCTTAGGTCTATAAGTAATTGTTTTCTAAATTTGGGAGCTTCAGTGTTAGATGCATATATGTTTAGGATTGTGATATTTTACTGTTGGGCAAGGCCTTTTACCATTATATAATGTCCCTCTTTGTCTTTTTTAACTGTTGTTTCTTTAAAGTTTGTTTTGTCTGATATAAGAATAGCTACTCCAGCTCACTTTTGGTGTCCATTTGCATGAAATGCTTTTTCCCCTTTTAGTTTCAGTTTATATGAGTCCTTATGAGTTAGATGAGTCCCTTGACGGCAACAGATAGTTGGTTGGTGAATTCTTATCAATTCCACAGTTCTGTATTTTTTAAGTGGCACATTTAGGCCATTTACATTTAATATTAGTATTGAAATGTGGGGTAGTATTCCATTTATCATGCTATTTGTTGCCTGTGTACCATGGTGTTTTGTTTTTGTTTTGTTTTTTAAAGTGCATATTTTTGTTTTATAGGTCCTGTGTGATTTATGCTTTAAAGAGGTTCTGTTTTGATGTGTTTCCAGGATTTGTTTCAAGATTTAGAGCTCCTTTTACAGGTCTGGTAGTGGTGGCTTGGTAGTGGCAAATTCTTTCAGCATTTGTTTTTCAGAAAAAGACTGTATCTTTCCTTTATATATGATGCTTAGTTTCTCTGGATACAAAATTCTCAGCTGATAATTGTTTTGTTTGAGGAGGCTGAAGATTGGGCCCCAGTCACTTCTAGCTTGTGGGGTTTCTGCTGATAAATCTGTGGTTAATCTGATAGGTTTTTCTTTATAGGTTACCTGGTGCTTCTGTCTCACAGCTTTTATCATTCTTTTCCTCATCTTAAATTTAGATAACCTGATGACTATGTGCCTAGGCGATGATCTTTTTTGTGATTAATTTCCCAGGTCTTCTTTGTGCTTCTTGTATTTGGATGTCTAGATCTCTAGCAAGGCCAGGGAAGCTTTCCTCAATTATTCCCCCAAATATGTTTTCCAAACTTTTAGATTTCTCTTTTTCCTCAGGAACACGGATTATTCTTAGGTTTAGTCATTTAACATAATCCCAGACTTCTTGGAGGCTTTGTTTATATTTTCTTATTCTTTTTTCTTCACCTTTGTTGGATTATGTTAATTCAAATACCTTGTCTTTGAAGTCTGAATTTCTTTCTTCTACCTGTTCAATTCTATTGCTAAGACTTTCCAGAGCATTTTGCATTGCTATACCTGTGTCCAATGTTTCCTGAAGTTTTTAATGTTTTTATTTATGCTATATATTTCATTGAATATTTTTCACCCTTCGCCTCTTGTATCATTTTTTTGATTTCCTTGCATTTGGCTTCACCTTTCTCTGGTGCCTCCCTGATTAGCTTAATAATTAACCTCCTGAATTATTTTTCAGGTAAATCAAGGATTTCTTCTTGGTTGGGATCCATTGCTAGTGAGCTAGTGTGATTTTTGCGGGGTGTTAAAGAGCCTCATTTTGTCATATTACCAGAGTTGGTTTTCTGGTTCCTTCTCATTTGGGTAGGCTCTGTCAGAGGGATGGTCTAGGGCTGAAGGCTGTTGTTCAAATTCTTTCGTCTCAAGGGGTGTTCCTTTGATTAGTACTCTCCACCTTTCCCTATGGATGTGGCTTCCTGAGTGCCAAGCTGTAGGTATTGTTATCTCTCTTCTGGATCTAGCCACCCAGCAAATCTGCCAGGCTCCAGGCTGGTACTGGGGGTTATCTGCACAGTCCTGTGATGTGAACCATCTATGGGTCTCTCAGCTGTGGATACCAGCACCTGTTTAGGTGAAAATGGCAGGGGGGTAAAATGGACTCTGTGAGAGTTCTTAGCTTTGGTGGTTTAATGCTCTATTTTTGTGCTGGCTGGCCTCCTGCTAGGAGGTGTTGCTTTCCAGAGAGCATCAGCTGTAGTAGAATGGAGAGGAACTAGTGGTGGGCAGGGCCCTAGAACTCCTGAGTATATGCCCTTCGTGTTCAGTTCCAGGGTGGGTAGAAAAGGACCATCAGGTGGGAGGCAGGACTAGGCATGTCTGAGCTCAGACTCTCCTTGGGCAGATCTTGCTGTGGCTGCTGTGAGGGATGCGGGTGAGGTTCCCAGGTCAATGGAGTTATGTACCTAGGAAGATTATGGCTGCCTCTGCTGAGTCATGCGGTTGTCAGGGAAGTGGGGGAAAGCCAGCAGCCACAGGCCTCACCCAGTTCCCACACAATCTAAAGGGCTGGTCTCACTCCCACCATGCCCTCCGCCCCCACCCCCAAGAGCACTAAGTCTATTTCCAGGCAGTGGGCAAGCAGGGCTGAGAATTTGCTGCAACCTACCTGCCTCCCAGCTACAAAAGAAGGTAGGGCTTTAGTTCTTCCCCATACTCTGGAGTCTGCATGCCAGATTCATGCCCTCCCCTGAGTTCTGGCCAGGTTTCTTGACCAGTTCAAACTGTTACAAAATTCAGCTGGAGGTTTTGCTCTCCCTGTGGCATTTTCCCTGCGCCTCTGGCCACCCTCCAGAAGGATCCCTGTAGTGCCAAGCAGGAATGGCCTGCTTGGGGACCTAGCAAGCTCACAGGGCCTTTCCCATTGCTTCCTCTATCCCTGTATTGTGTTCAGCTCTCTACATTGGCTCAGCTCCAGGTAAGGTCAGAATCTTCTCCTGTAAACTAGACCTTTGCTTTTCCCAGTGGGGGTGTGTGTTCAGGGGCAGAGGATCTCCATTTTCAGCTTCCACTGTTTGGGCACTCACAGTATTTGGTGTGTCTCCGAGGTCCTGCAGGAGCAATCCACTTCCTTCAGAGGGTCTCAGGTTTCCTGATTTATTCCTGCAGTTGTGCCGGAGCTAAAATTCATGATGCGGGCCTCCACATGCTGCTCTGTCCATCCGAGTCAGAGCTACAGTCTAGTCCTGCCTCTTGTCCAGCATGATGGAAAGCTATGCCTATCTCTTCTTATAAGACCATTAATTCCTGCATGGGGGCTCCACCTGCAGGACCTCGTCTAACCTAATCAGCTCCCAAAGGTCTCACCTCCAAATACCATCACACTGGGGGTTAGAGATTCAACATATGAATTTTAGGGGACACAAACATTCAGTCCCTAGCACAAGCTGACTGGATTCTACCTTAATTAGACTCCCCATGATGAATGATAGAGCTTGGCACAGAGCTGAATCTGCAGCTGTATGAATGTGGGGCAGAAAATCAAACAGGTCACACAGAGTTATCTACTCCAATATTCTATTTCCAAAGGGAGAAAAAAACTTACATGAGATGCCACTGAATATTTTAAACTACGTCATATAAGTGTTAAAACTGCAAGGTATCAGGATGCAAAGCAGGGAGTAGAAGTCAACAGCAACTTCCCAGAATTTTCAAAATAAACTCTTAATCAGAGGGAAATGAATCTTTTAACTTATAGAATATGAAATGATGTATTATTGTTTTTCTACATGACTGCTATTATAACACTTTCTGTAAGCACTAAAGTTGACACACTAATTGCTATTGGAATATTTTAATTATGAAATTAGAAAAGCGTAAAACAAAAGATGAATGTGAAAAACACTGAGACAAGGACTTGAGTGTAAATAAGTCTATTTGAAAAACTGTTTAGAATTTAGAATAATCATTTTAAACAAGTTCAGGGAACTACCAGAAAATATTAATAGAAAATTAAATAAAATTTAGGTAATAATTTATGAAAAAAATAAAAGTTTGACAAAGAAATAGAAACAATAAAAACATTAATTCTAAAGATAAAGAACATGATAACTGAACTGAAAAATTCAATTAAAAACTTCAATAGCAGACTTCATCAAGCAGAAGACTCAGTGAGCTTGAAGACAGGACATTTAAAGTTCTCCAGTTAGAGGAGTAATAAGAAAAACAAGGGAAAAGAATGATGAATTCAGGAATTATGGGACACCATCAAGCAAACTAACCTTTACATAATGGGAGTTACTAGAGGAGAAGAGAGAGAAGAGGGCTGATAATGATATTTAAGGAAGTAATGGGTGACAATTTTCCAAATCTGGTGAAAGACAACATTCAGGTACAGAAAGCTCAGAGGTCATCAACCAAATTAAGGCCAAAAAAGAGTTAGCCAAGACACCTCATAACCATCATAACCAAATTATCAAAAATCAAATACAAAGAAAAAATATCAAAAGTAGCAAGAGATAAGAAATGCCATGATCAAGGCAACCTTAATATGGCTTTCAGCAGATTTCTCAGCAGACACCCTACAGGCCAGGAGAGAGTAGGAGTACGATATATTAAAAGTGCTGAAGGAGATAATTGACAAATGGGATCTAATTAAACTGAAGAGCATCTGCACTGCAAATGAAACTATCATCAGAGTAAGCAGGCAACCTACAGAAAGGAGAAAATTTTGCAATCTATCCATCTGACAAAGGACTAATATGCAGAATCTACAAAGAACTTAAACAAATTTACAAGAAAAAAACAAACAACTGCATCAAAAATTGGGCAAAGGATATGAACAGACACTTCTCAAAAGAAGACATTTATGCAGCCAACAAACAAGAAAAAAAGCTCACCATCACTGGTTATTAGAGAAATGCAAATCAAAACCACAATGAGATACCATCTCACACCAGTTAGAATGGCGATCATTAAAAAGTTAGGAAACAACAGATGCTGGAGAGAATGTGGAGAAATATGAACGCTTTAACACTGTTGGTGGGAGTGTAAATTAGTTCCACCATTGTGGAAGACTGTGGTGATTCCTCAAGGATCTAGAACCAGAAATATCATTTGACCCAGCAATCCCATTACTGGGTATATGCCCAAAGGATTACAAATCATTCTACTATAAAGACACATGCACACATTTGTTTATTGCAGCACTCTTCACAACAGCAAAAACTTGGAACCAACCCAAATACCCATCAATGATAGACTGGATTAAGCAAATGTGACACATATACATCATGGAATATGATGCAGCCATAAAAAAGGATGAGTTCATGTCCTTTGCAGGGACATGGATGAAGCTAGAAACCATTATTCTCAGTAAACTAACACAGGAACAGAAAACCAAATACCACATGTTCTCACTCATAAGTGGGAGTTGAATAATGAGAACACATGGACACAGGGAGGGGAACATCACACACCAGGGCCTGTCAGGGGGTTGGGGTCTAAGGGAGGGATAAGATTAGGAGAAATACCTAACGTAGATGACAAGTAGATAGGTGCAGCAAACCATCATGGCACGTGTATACCTATGTAACAAACCTGCACATTCTGATAAATGTATCCCAGAACTTAAAGTATTAAAAAAAAAGTGTTGAAGGAAAATAACATGCCAACACGAATTTTTTTACTCAGAAAAGCTGTCCTTCAGAAATGAGAGGGAAATTAAAATTTCCCAGAAAACAACAACAAAAAAATTAAAAGAGTTCATCACAATTAGGCCTTTTTACAGGAATTACTAAACAGAGTTCTTTAGTTCTTTAAGCTGAAATGAAAATCTGCTAATTAATAACAAAAAACATATAAAGTAAAATAAAACCTCTATGGTGTAAGGAATACATAGCCATACTCAGAATTCTCTTATTCCGTAAGAATGTGTGTAAACAATTTTATCCCTACTAGGTTTAAAAGAAAGAAGTATTAAAAACAACTGTAGCTACCACAAGTTGTAAAGGAGTGCAAATTACAAAAACAAATGTATATTTTGACATCAAAATCATAAAAGGTAGCAAAGGGTGAAAGTGTTAGAGTCTTTTATTGTGATTAAAGACAAGTAGTTGTCATCTTAAACTAGCTTGCTTTAAGGATAAGGTATTTTAGGTAAGCCTCTCGGTAACCACAAAACAAAACCTACAGTAGTTACACAAAATAGAAAAGGAAAGGACTCAAAGCACATCGACATGGAAAATCATCACACCACACAGGAAGACAGCAAGAGAGGAAGAAAAAAAACCATCTACAACAGAACCAGAAAACAAATTACAAAATGGCAGTAGTATGTTCTTACTTATCAATAATTACCTTGAATGAAATTAGATTAAATTCTCTAATAAAAAGACCAAATGGCTAAATAGATTTTTTAAAAACTCCAACCATATGCTGTCTACAAAAGACCTACTTTACTAGTAAGAACACAGACTGAAAGTAAAGAGATGGAAAATGATATTCCACACAAATAGAAACCAAAAGAGAGTAAGGGGAGCTATACTTATATCAAAGTAGAGTTTAAGTAAGAAACCATAAAAAGAGGCAAAAAAGGTTATTACACATAATGAAGGTGTTAGTTCACCATGAACACCCAACAATTGTAAATATATAGGCACCCAACATCATAGCACCTAAATATATAAAGCAATTATTGAATGATCTGAAGGGAAAGATCAATTTCAATACCGTAATAGTAGGGGGCCTCAATATCCTAGTTTCAAAAATGGACAGATCATCTTGACAGAAAATCAGGAAAGAAGATTAGACTTGAGTTGCACTTTAGATCAAACAGACCTAATAGACATACACAGAACATTCTATCCAACAGCAGCAAAACACCCAATTTTCTCAAGTGCACATGGAACATTCTCCAGGATAGGTCATATGTTAGTCCACAAAACAAGACTGAACAAATATAAGATGATTTAAATCATACTAAATATCTTTTTAGATCACAATGGCATAAAACTAGAAATCCATAACAGGAGAAATCTTGGAAGATACACAAATATGTGGAACTTAAACAACACGCTCCTAAACAAACAATAGGTCGCAGAACAAATAAAAAATGAAATCAATATTACCTTGAGACAAACTAAACTGGAAACACAACATACCAAAACATTTGAGATGGAGCAAAAGCATTTCTAAGAGAGAAATTTATGGTGATAAACATCTATATCAAAAAAAGAAGGGGCCAGATGCGGTGGCTCACACCTATAATCCCAGCACTTTGAGAGGCCAAGGCTGGTGGATTGCTTGAGCCCAGGAGTTTGAGACTAGCCTGGGCAACATGGCAAAACCCCACCTCTATCAAAAATACAAAAATTACTTGGCCATGGTGGTGTGTGCCCTGTAGTCCCAGCTACTTGGGAGGCTGAGGTGAAAGGATCACTTGAACCTGGGAACTTGAGGTTGCAATGAGTCAAAATTGTGCCACTGCACTCCAGCCTGGGCAATAGAGTGAGGTGTCTCAAGAAAAAAAAAGAAAGATCACAAATAAACAATCTTAGATTTAACATCACACTTCAAGGAACTAGCAAAAGGAAGAACAAACTAAGCCCAAAATTAGCATAAGGAAGGAAATAACCAAGATCAGAGAAGAAATAAATAAAATAGAGATCAGGAAAACAATAGAAAAAAATTAACAAAGCTAAGAGTTAGGATTTTTTTTCTGGAAAAGATAAACACAATTGACAAACCTTTAGCTATACTAACTAGGAAGTTAAGATAGAAATTATAAATGAAAGAGGAGACATTACAGCTGATACCACCAAAACATAAATGATCATAAGAAACTACCATGAATAATTTTATACTAACAGATGTTATAACCTAGAAGAAACAGATAAATTCTTAGACACATACAAGCTACCACAACTGAGTCATGAGAAAATAGAAAATCTGAACAGACCACCACACACACAAAGAAAGACAATAAAAAATGCCCAGAGATGTGAACATGCATTTCTCAAAAGAAGACTTAAAAATGGTCAATAAGTGCATGAGAAAATGCTCAGCATTACTCCTCATTAGGGAAATGCAAATAAGAATCACCCTACACCTGTTAGAATGGCTTTTATCAAAAAGATAAGAGATACACACTGAAGAGGGTGCAGAGAAACAGAAACTTTTAAACATTATTAGTGAGAAATGTAAATTAGTACAGTTATTGTGGAAAATAGTATCAAAGTTTCTCAAAAAACTAAAAATAGAACTACTATATTATCCATAACCCCATGTGTGGGTATATAGCCAAAGGAACTGAAATCAATATATTAAAGGGATATTTGTACTACTCCATGTTCATTGCAGCACTATTCAGAAAAGCCAAATTATGGAAACAACCTAAGTGTCTATCAACAGATGACTGGATAAAGAAAATGTGATACACGCACACACACAGACACACACACACACACACAATGAGACATTATTCAGCCTTAAAAAAGAAGGAAACCTTGTCATTTTCAACAACATAGATGAATCCATAGGACATTTTGCTAAGTGAAACTAGTCAGGACAGAAAGACAAATACCACATGATCTCCCTTATATGTGGAGTTTAATAAAGTTGAACTCACAGAATTGGAGAGTAGAATGATGGTTACCAGAGGCTGGGGGTGGGAAAAGAGGGAATAGGAAGTTGTTGATTAAAGGGTACAAAGTTTCAGACAGACAGAAGAAATATATTTTGAGATTTATTGCACAGTAGGGTGACTATAGTCAATAGTAATATATATTTCAAAATAACTAAAAGACTCCATTTTAGATGTCTCACTATAAAAAATGACAGGTAAGTGAGGTGATGGATAAGCTAATCAGTTTGAATTAATCATATCACATTGTATACATATATCAAAACATTACACTGTACCTCATAAATGTATACAATTATGATTTATTGATCAAAAATAATTTTAAAAAAAATGTAATAAACAAAGTTGAGCCAAGATTAGAAGAGCAATCTCTTCAGAGGGCTGTGCTGTGACTCTATAGCTCCAAAGGGAAAGGTGCAAGGGCTACCCCTCCAAACCTAGAGAGACAAGAGGACCAAAAGGAAGGATGGGAGACCTGCTCTCCTTATGCAAGGTAAGTGAGGTAGGCTAAGTAAAGAGCTTCTAAACATGTTTACATCCTAATCTCCACAGCCTATAAATATACCTTACATGGTAAAAAGAGTCTCTGCAGATGTGATTAAGCATCTTTAAAGGCAGAGATTGTCCTAGATTATCCAGAGGGACCAGATGTAATCATAAAGGTTTTTATAAGAGGGAGGCAGGAGGGTCAGAGTGAGAGAAGCAATATGCCAATGGATGTAAAGGTGAGAGAGTCCCGGAGAGATTTGAAGATTCCATACTCCTGGCTGCAAAGATGAATGACAGGGCCACACACTAGGAATGCAGGTGGCCTTTAGAAGCTATAACTGGCAAGAAAATAGATTCTTTCCTAGAGCCTCCAGAAGGAATGCAGCTCTGCCAACGCCTTGATTTTACCCCAGTGTATTAGTCTGTTTTCACACTGCTATTAAAAACCACCTGAGACTGGGTAATTTATAAAGGATAGAGGTTTAATTGACTCACAGTCCAGCATGGCCGGGGAGGCTTCAGGAACTTACAATCATGGCAGAAGGCAAAGGGGAAGCAAGGCGCCTTCTTTACAAGGCGGCAGGAAGGAGAAGTGCTGAGTGAAGGGGGAAGAACCCCTTGTAAAACCATCAGATCTCATGAGAACTCCCTCGATATCATAAGAACCGCATGGGGGAAATAGCCCCTATGATTCAATTATCTCCACTCATTCTCTCCCCTGACACGTGGGAATTATCGGGATTACAATTCAAGATGAGATTCTGGTGGGGACAAAAAGCCTAACCATATCACCCAGTGACAGCCATCTCAGACTTCTGACCTCCAAACCTGTGCAATAGTAGATTTGCATTGTGCTAAGTCACAAGACTTGTGGTAATCTGTCATAGTGGCATAGAAAACTAATACAAGATAAAAGGTTTTAGAAAGCCCACAGGACATGTTACTACATTTCCTCTAAATCCCAGTGAACACTGGGTACTGCTATCTGACTCTCCTCTGAAAAGTCCAAGGGCTTGATACAGATCAGCTAACAGCTTTGACATCAGAGTGAAAAACTGGGAATTGGTCTGCATTCCAGAGCTGTTTAGAGACAAAGAATATGTGAGTGTGCCTTTCCTGCAAAGGACTGTCGAGGTCTTATTCATGAAGCCCACCTGCAGGGCCAACTTCATGGACATGGAACTTGTGCAGTTACACAGGGAACTACATTCAAAAGGAATCTGTGCTTAATTTAATGTTCTGTTTTCCCTGGCTTGAAATTCTTAATCATTTCTGAGCAAGGGGCCCTGCAATTTTATTTTGCCCTGGGTCTTGAAAATTATGTGGCCAATCATGGTCACCCAAAAGGGCAAGAGACCAGCAAAGGGATGCTGACAAAATGATAAAAGTCTTGCGGTTAGTAGAGAAGCAAGTGAAGAGCTAGATTAGACATGCTACTGCCCAGGTCAAGGCTACAGATCCCAGTTACACCAAGATACTGGTTGGGCAACCTCCAAAACATCTATAAGAGCAAGTAAGAACTTTAAGTCCCCTTCCCTCTCCTATGTAGTAGGTATATGTTCATCATCATAGCAAGCTTGGTGGGAGGGAAGAGCAGATGTGCTCCATGTGGAAAGAGATAAATAAACAAAGCCTCCTTCCTCAGTTACTGCTTTTCTGCCTATAGTACACCTCAGCTGCCAGAGGGTTGAATACTCAACTCTATACCAAGTTCAGAGTTTTGACTACTGCATGATATCAGGTTTCTTGATTATTGAACTGGAACATTGATCTGTGACTGGAAGCAACCAGAAAATGTCATGGGATTTCCAAGTTTCCATTTGGAGGAAGAATTAGTCCCGTGGAAAAGATAAATAAATTTAAAGAACAATGGGAGACCAAACAATCTATGGACGAGCACTTGTTCAGCCAATGATTATATCATCAGGTCAAAGTCAGGCAGTCAGAGGTAAAAACTCTCACTGACAGTTTGACAGACCTTGTGCGTGTAGAAAAACACTCAGTATTGCCTTTAAAAACCAACCAGAGTATCAATAATATAAAGGGGGAAAACTTCCAATATACTATTTTCAATAGGAAAAAATCCATGGTAAAAACTTGTATACATGTATAGAATTATTATGCGTCAATTAAAAACAAAGGAAAAAAAAGAAAAGATAACAAACAAAAATAAATTTCCAAGTGTACTCTTTTTGGTTGGAGGAAGGAAAAAAAACTTGAGCCTCCATTATAAATGGAAATAAATGTAATACATCTCCCCTCAGACATCTAATCTGAATGCATAGCATAGACAAGCACGGGGATAAGGAGAGGACTCCTTCTTTATATCCATCCTTCACTGCCCCTGAGTTATCTTTCTCAAAGACAATGATTTTACCACTCTTTTCTTAGAAGTCTCAAATGCCTCTTCAGGAGCTTTCAAGGTGAAACCTAAAGTCTGCAGCACACACACGTGGTGCTCCTCAGCCAACATAGCTGTTTCTTCCCCACCATGCCATGCCACATACACTCTTAGAGCTGTTTCCCAGACTTCAGCCACTCACACACCACCTTCACGGTGTTGGCTACATTCACGTTCTCCCAGAATTGCTATCAACTTAATATTTTTCTATAAATCAAGCAATGGTTTTACTTAAAATTATCCTCATGCTAAGCAATGTCTTTTAGTCAAGTTTTAATGTGCTACTTTCAATTTTACTAAATATTTGACTATTACTCTTGAAATTAACTTTTTAAAATTAAAAAGTTGATCTCTGTGTCATGTTATACCACTAGTTGTTCATGTAACACACATTGGTATGCACTGCTCTAGACAGAAACGACAGTGACTTCTTTATTGTACACTGAGCATACTGTGCCTTTGAACCTGTTGGTTTCCTCCTCTTACCGTGCCCTTTGCATTATCTGGTAAAGTTATTCCCTTCCTTTAGGATTAACTTAACCCAAAGTTGCCTTCTCATGGAAGCTTCCCCAAATCACTTAAAGCTTGATGTTTCTTCTCTGTATTCCAAAGCACTTTCTACCTTTCTTCAGTATGACATTTATCACATTGTAAGGCCATACTGTGTACATGTCTGTCTCCCTTATGAAACTGAGTAGTCATCCATGAGTTATCCCATTATCTAGGTCAGTACATAATAGATGCTCAATAAAAATATTTGTTAAACAAAAGAATGATAGGTATGTAGCCAAAGCTAAGTTAATGATGTCATTTATAGCATGACTATCTCAGCACAATATTACTTTGGTTAAACAAAAGATGCCCCAAAGTCTCAATGTATGGAAGATTCTCTACAATTATCAAATAAGACTAAAAAAAATTAAATGATTATGTTTTCTATATATGGCAGAAAGAACACAGAGCTGGAAGACTTGAGAAAAGAGTATAAAGTTACATTGGAAGTCAGTGTAAATTTTTTATAAGACTTTGCATGTAAGTTCTTCCGGTTATTCTTTTTTAGGAATCCTCCATTTAATTATCACTAACTAATTGCAAATTTTAAAGATAAAAGGGAAGCAAATTTAAAATAAAGCAAAGGGTGATTAAAGCAGCAACCAAGCATTGGTTACCTCTGATGAAATGACCTCATCAAAAACAAATTTAAAAAAAGTTACTAATATGAAGCATACATAAATAACTGCTCCATAGTAGCATCTCCATGTTATAATCGAGAAAATTCCCTTTTCCTGTTGCACTTTTCCAGCCTTCCAGAAGAATGAGTCAGAAAATGTTCTGGGTACAGTCATACACATGGGAGATTTTTTAATGTTGCCTTTTAATCCCAGCAAGATAGTTATTCCCTCTTGTCCTTATTTTTCTTATATTTTTTATTTTGAATACTGATTTATAAAGGGTCAAAATATAAGTTTTTTATATTTTGCTTATACTGAAAATGATAATGTTTATAAGATAAAATCTTTGAATGCTTTTATAGGGATGAGGTCTCTCAGCAACTCCACAGAATGGGGCAAAGCATGGCACCGAAAAGTTAACAAGGCAAAAACAGCTGCTCTAAAGCTGCGCTGGGTGTTAATCAAACCATCTCCCAAATAGCAGGAAGGCTTATATCAAACACCTTAATTTGCCCCCAATGCCCTGTTTTTACCTTGATTTAACAATTCCCAGTGATAGCAATCTGTTGTCCTCATCCCACACAAGGCCTCAAGCTTGGGGTTCTGCTGCTCATACCAGCTTGCCTTCGGTAGCCTCTCAAGGAGAAAAGCTCCCCAGGAAGGAGATCGAGCTTTATTTTTATCCCAGTTAAAGTCCCTGTCCAATCCATTAACAGCTTCGATAACCTTGGTCCAGGGCATTTCCTGCAGAAGCTATAACCAGCTGGGGTTAATGAACTCTCCCTACCATTAATTCCTGGGAGAGGCCATTGGCCTGAATTGTTACTTAATTACTCTTCTGTGTACAGCTTCATAAAGCAATGAAATGCCTTCTTTCAGGAAGAAGGGAGATGGTAATGGGGGTCATCAGAGGCCATTAATTTTACAAATAGTTTATTGGAAACTACAGTATGTTAAGAAGTCACTCTGGCTCACAAATCAACTCAATGTGGTCCTTACTAAGTAGAGATCCAAAACTTCCCAAGTTTCCGTGACTTGCATACACAAAAAGTTACAATGGTACAGAATCTTATCAAAGGTATATAGCTTCAGGTATGCAGAACTATATTCTTTAGATTCTGCAACTGATCATACCTTCCCCTCCAGCTCTTGTTCCTAAAGTTGGCAGAAAAGACTCAATAAAGCCAGTTTGAGACATCATAAAATTTTCCAATTTAAAATTCTCTTTCAGGTAATTTCTCAGTCTTTTAAGGAGATTCTCCCTCTCCAGAGTGCTGCTCTTTCCTAAGATGGTGGCAGGTACAAGGAAGAGCTAGGTACCCAGGAAGCATCACAGGAAAAGCTTTGGGTTTTCATGCCTTCCCTTCATGCTCCTAGATCTGCTGGACTCTGTGTCCATCTCAGCACAACTGGAGGGCTTCTCTTGTCCACCAAGCTTCTTACCACATCTACACCCCACTTAACGGGTCTGAGAATGCTCAGTCGCTTCTTCTGCGCCACCCTAATTATACTTGCAACAACCTCCTCACTCTTACCTCCTTCACCTGTTTATGTTTCCTCATGGCAGTGTTACCAAGCAAAAGAGTGTCACTGCCCAATGTGCTGGAAGCCAATACTATGACACAAGGTTTGTGAGAAAAAAAAGGCTTTTTACTGTAGGTCTACTAACAAGGACACAGGAATCCAACTCAAATCTGTCTCTCTGTGCTGGCTCTCAGGCAGTACTTTTATTAGAAAAGGTTTAGGGAGTGGATTCTGGAATTAGCAAATGACTGGTAGAAGAAAAGGGGAGGTCTGGAAAGTCCTCAGGCATGCACGATTATCTCTTCATGCCTCCTTATGGGTCCCATGTGCAAATTCAGGGGAAATTAGTATAAAACATGCAGTGGAAATTCAAGCTGTGACATCAGTAAGCTTGTTCTGCACAGACTCCAGTTGGCCTTATTGGTTCCAACCAATTTCAGCTAGGTTTTTTGTTTTGAAATCTCTCAAATAGAGGGAGTTTCAGCATTTCAGCAAGTTGTTTATTTTCTTATCTGCTATTCTGCAAGCTCAAGAATTTGTTAGTCACTGGTTTCTTTAACTCTTTGGGGTAAAATTTCAGCAGTCTCCTCTTTTATCATATCAAGTAAAAATAATTTTATTTATTTTATTGATTGTGTTACCAGTCCCCCCTACACACACGCGCGCGCGCGCACACACACACACACACACACACACACACACACATCTTAGAATATAAACTTCATGAGGTCAAGGGCTTTTGGCTGCTTTGTTCATTCTTTCCCTCCAGTGCTTAGAACAGAGCCTAGAAGATACACATCGTGTTCATTCAGTGTTTCACTGTTTGTTGAATGAATGAGTAGTTAGTTGGCTACATGATGAAATTAGACTGCTGGCCAAAAGACCTAGACTTTCCATTTTAGTCACACTGAGGCAGGAAGAGAGCTTTATCTGCCAGAGAAATAAAAGATAGAGGTTGCCCCTTCAAACAGCCCAGAAATCAAATCCATTGAACCTACTGCTATCCAGGGAAGACTTGGCCATGAAATCCACACACTTATCTAGGCTCTGGACTCTACACAAATGATGAGAAACCATTGCCACCCACCCCACTATGACATGTTGCCCCGCCCATCCTATGTCATGACCTCTCAGAATGTTCTGAGATTCTATTGGATAGTTCCAGTGGAGAAAGATTAGACTCCTCAGAAGCTAATTGACTAGGGAAGGATCAGGAAGACAAGACACATCAAAAAGGGGAGGTAGAGTTTGTAGAAGAAATAAAGGGGAAAAAAAGAAACTAAGGGGAAGGGAGAGACAAATGATTTACATATACTTGGTTTTCTGAGCCCTCTTTAATACTAAAGATCTTAATATCTGGAAATTCTGGCATAAGCAAAGATAGAGAGCAAAGATTACTTTTCAGGGATATTGTAAACCTACATCCATGCCCATGGGGCTTTATGGAAAGCAACTGGCCTAGAGCAAAAAGAGACTTATTGATTATCTCTATTTCTTTATATTGTCTTGTATAAACTTCCACAGGGTTTTATGTTGATAAACCATCTCTGACTATATCTATTAATAGGACGTATATTCCAGCATTATCTCTGTATCCTGACTGTATCTTTAATAGGGTATAATCAGAACACGGGCAGAAGAATCAAAAGGCTGAGTTTTGTCATGGTTAAAATGTGGGGATTAGAGGGAGAAAATGAGTTAACTTAATTTGATTTCTACTTTTTGGGACTCTTCCCTAGTTACTGTATTCATAAATGAACCCATTTCTCCAATTCATTAGATACATCTCTGTTGGCATTTTAGGGAATCTACAATGGAAGGACACAAGAAAGATCAGCTGGATTAAGTAGTCATGATTATGCAAAGCCATATCCAGAGACCAAGGTGTAAAGCAGGTTCGCTATTGACCCCTTGCCTCATCTTCCAGCCTCCTTCTCCCCTTCTACTCCTGTTATGCAACCACCTCCGCACCCTACCCCAAGCATGCCATACCTTCCTGAAGTGATTACTGTAAATCCCCCATCCAAGCAAGCCCTTCCAAGATAGGACTTAACTTTCCAATATTATCCTTCATTCCTATCTAAAACAAAAGCCTCTGTGCCTCACTGTGCTAATAGTGGTTAATCAACTGAAACACAAACCAATGAATTAATTTACATTAGTAGAAAAAGAAAAATATATCAAGAGCCTCCCATGTACCCTTCCCAAAATACTCTAGAGTTACCATTATTTCATTTAAATTTACTTCAAAAAAGATATTTGCATTTTTGAAAGCTATGCCTAGAGCCTATGTGGGTGTGCTCAATGGAATTACTCTCATGGTAAAAATTTCAAACTTTGTAGCAGGCAAGTGAGGGAGAGGTGTTGAGGTGGGAGAAGGAAGGGAAAGATTGAAGCCCTATCATGCTGGTGGAAACCCCTTGTGGCTCTGCAGAAAGCCAGGCCCAACCAGAAGTGATATGCCAGGTGCTTAGATAAAAGTGTTCAATAAATGTGTATTGTATGAGCAGGTTTTGTGAATAGTTTATCTAAGAAAAGATTGCCAAGAGAAACATTTCTCCCCAGCGCAAGGGGTTATTTAAGGAAGCAAAGCTTCTCAAGAAACCAGAGTGAAGGTGCACTGTTAGATTGAGCACTTTGGAGGAGAAAGCCTGGGAAAGACCCTTGCTGACTGAGCTGCGAATTATCGAAACAGTTGTAGAGCATGATCAAGAAATGTAATTTTTCAAGAATGAAAATGGTATGCCCCCAGAGAGAGTAAGGTTAATAAACTAGATGTGTTCTAAATACCCTTTTTGGCCTGATGATTATTGATCTTGAGATAACTGGCCCTTGTTCATTTTGGGGGCTGAGTCTATAGGTCGGAGAAAATGGAAATCTCAAGATTGGCTCAGTCAAAAAGAAACATTATCAGTTTGAACATGGACCTTGAAAGGGATACGCAGAGAATAGATGAAGCAAATCAGAAACTTCTTCTCAAAATCCAAGAGAGGGAAGATAAGATTCAGAGGTGAGTATTAAGGTTTCATGAGGGAAGTTCCCAATCCAAAGAAGGGGTGGAGGACCAAAACCAAAACTGAATTTTCCTGCTTGTTCTAGAGACTTCTACCTTGTGTGGCAAAAAGTTAATTTTTCATTCTTTGACATTTCTCTTGAACACTGAAGCATAGCAAGTTTCAAATAGATTCCTAAAAGATGGAGTTGAGAGAACACTGGGGTGTTTGGCTTAGGAATCAGGCAGGTCTTCCTGCTTTATGGATTCAGTAAGGAAGAGTTTTCAGCTTGAGATTCATGTACACTGTCCCTGAAGTTCCCTTATATCTGAAATCTGTGTTTTATCAGTTCTGAAACTGCCAAGCATGGGTCCTCATGGCATGTGCTTGTGTTGTCCAGGCTGGAAAGTGAGATCATTCAGACGCGGGGCCTGGTGGAAGATGAAGAGTGGGAGAAGGAGAACCGCACCACGATGGAAAGGGAAAGAGCCTTGCAGGAGCTGGAGGAAGAAACAGCCAGACTTGTAAGCAAGAAGTTGGGAAGAGCCATTTAATAGGTTGCATTCCTCATTCCATCCTTCATCAATTATCAGATAAGCTTGTCTCTCCTTTTTATACATGAACAGTAGCCATCTCAAAAGTCATGATAAAATTTGTCCATGCGTGGAAGGGGATGTGTCTGGCTTCTTGGGCAATGTTTAATCATTGGGAAGCCCTGCAGATGGGCATCTATATCCCTGTATTTCACCTGTGGTTTGATTTCAATATACACATGACATTATGCAAATAAGGTCAAGTTACTGCAGGAAAATATAGCTGGGGTGAAATGGACAGCAATCAACTGAATAAGAACAGATGGAGTACAGAGGCAGATTTACACTGTTATTTCTCTCTCACAGGAAAGGAAGAATAAGACGTTGGTCCACAGTATAACAGAACTTCAACAAAAGGTGAGGTAGGGTACTTGTGTTCTCCAGTGCCCCCACAACAGCCCCATTCATCAAAGGGGCAAGGTTTGGGGGAAGTGATCATAGAGGAACCCATAAGTCAGAGAGGCCTGTATGTGGAGTGCATATTACTCTCTAATCCACTCTCCTGAGGCCAAGGTTCATGACCTAAATGTTAGGGATTTTCTCTGTAGGCAAGAGGGAAAAGGAATGGATGGAATATTTAGTAATCTCATGGGTTCTTCATTCTATCACCAGAAAATGGATTCCAACAGATACTCTGTTGAAGTCATTGACTGGAACCTTTGCAGTGAGAGGTTAATTTTACTTTCAACAGAGACCTTTTAAACAACAACAAAAATAATTAACTTAATCCCCAAGGATTTCCTTTTTCTTGTCTAGCCATTTCCAATGCCTCAATACCTCCTCAGAATACAGTGGGCTTCCAATGACTACCCTACTCTCTGACCCATGAGTATAAAGTAGCCTTCTACTGTAGGGGGCTGTATCCTTGAGTAACCCAGTGCGAATTAGGGGTTCAGGAAAGTACTCCTGCTTTGAGTGGACTCTAGCATCAGTGGCCAAGACTAGTGAGAAGAAGACAGAGGTAGAACAAAGATGTTTCCACAGGTCACCAAATATCTACCAAAGGACCATATCCTGGAAAGGTTTATAAAGGCCATAGTTACTAATCTCCACACACCAGAGAAAGTCTTTGCCTTCTACACCTTTTAATTTAGTATATTTTTTATTTGAAACTATAGCTTACAAGGAAATCACAAAAGATAACCAATTGTGAACAAAGCAGTCCAGATGGAGCCCTAGAAGAGACAAAGGTAAATGAAAAAAACAATCCTAAATGTGGTTGGGCTATGTAACCAGGAAACAAGCTGTTAAGTTGGAAATCAATGTCAACGTTGTGACAAATTCTTGGTAGTTTTCCTCCATGTCAAGCTTAAGCTTGAACCACTGGAGTGCTGAATTCTTCTCTGCCCTTAGGTAAGGAATGTCACTTTTTAGTCTTATTTATTGTTCTCTCTTCTGTTAGGAAGAGCAGGGCACAAATGCATATGTAAAATTTGGGGCAGTTAAAGTCCCCAGTTTAAAGCCACAGAAAATAATTTGGTGTGTGAAGTTGGGTAATTTAATTACTGCCTCTCAGCCTCAGTTTCAAGATTAAATGAAATTGTGTATAAAAAATATTGTCTCCTTTTCTGGATGGCTGCAACTTCAAAAAGTTGTGTGAGTTTTACATTATTATTTAAAATTCTTGCTGAGGTGCATGTATGAATTCATAGAGGCAGAACTAGGATTTGTAAGTCTACTGAGTGCTCGGCAATTTATGTACCCTGTCCTGGATTCCAATCTAGAAAAGGGTTCAATTAGTCACTCAAGTATTTAGTATGACCACTACCTGCTAAGCACATCATACTCTGCTTGGCATGTCTCTAATTGTGTTCCAGAGCTAAGAACCTGAGACCAACCACAACCTATCTGATGAGAGAGAGAGAGAAATTTCTTGTGTATACTCATGGGGTACAAGTGCCATTTTGCCAACACTGACATACTGTGTTGCAGAGACTTTATTTTTCTTCAGAGAGCAGATAAATTTTTTTATTATTATACTTTAAGTTCTAGGGTACATGTGCACAACGTGCAGGTTTGTTACATAGGTATACATGTGCCATGTTGGTGTGCTGCACCCATTAACTCGTCATTTGATTTTTTTGACACCTTCTCTAGAATTACATCTTTGTCCTTGCCTTATCTAACTTCTCTCTACCCTCCAAAGCCTGCACTTGGTTGTGTGTATGAAGCCTCTGAAAATTTGGATACATAGAAAATAGAAATAGAAAATGAAAGTATGGAGAATTACTCCCCTATCTTCTGCTGGCCAATTTAGTTTTGATGACCACAAAAATAGGAAGTCTAAAGCCACCAAATAAGCTTGCTTGGCTGTGCTAATTCAGGTAAGTTATCTGGAAAGAGAGAAATCAGGAAGAAATTGGAGCCAAAATTAGGAAGAGCTATAAAGACCCCTGACTGAACCTGCCATCTGATTGCAGTGGTCAGGACACTGATTTTCTTCCAAGATCACCTCTTTTTCCCAGAAAATAAGACCAGCCAGAATTGAGTGGTGACACTTTCAGTCTGGCTGCACTCACATTGTCAGATGACAGAGAACAAAGTCTAGTCTTAGTCAGAATAATGGCCATTATTTTGCTGGCTAGCCCTAAAGAGTTCAAGAATATTGTTTAATCCTTTGAACCACTCTTTGCCCACCTATTTTAATGAATTATCAGGTGATATCTCTAATTCTGTGAATGTACAGAATCTCTTTTGCTTCTGTTCCTCTGGCATGCTAGTAATCAGTGCAGCAGCTTAATGGGGTGCCTAATTCAACCCTTTGTGACTCACACCATTGGCTTGAAACTATATATCCCTTAGCACATTTGGCTAACTGGTCCTGGATGTAACTGACTGAAGAGTGAACCAACTCTCAGAAGAATCTGGATGTGAAATAATGGCACCTAGATCAAAGTGGGAACAGCAGAGCTGAAAAGGGAAGGAAGAATGGTCATGTCTGCTCTTCTACAAAATTATCTCCCAAATGCATCCATTCCTCTCTACCACTTCTGTTACTACTATCCTTTTGCAAGCCACCATAACCCCTTACCTGGACAACAGGAGTCACCACTCAACCAGTCTCCCTGCTTCTACTCTCACTCCCAAACAATTCTTTTTTCCAGACACAGAAAAGGCTATTCTCTAAAAACACAAATCAGATTGTGTCTTTAGACTTCAAGCCTCTCCTGCCTTCTCACTGCAATTAGAAGAACCGAAATCCTTTTAGAAGCCACAAGGCCCTGCACAATCTAGCCCCTGTCTACCTTATCCCACCCTGTCTCGGCCCTACCTACCAATTTCCCTTATGCTCTGGCCACACAACTCCCTCATATAAGCCAAATCTGTGATAACCTCATGGTCTTGGCCCTTGCCATACCCTTCACAGAGAACATATTTCTTCCAAATCTCCATTTAGCTAGCATTTATCATTTAGACTTTAGCTCAAGTATCATCACATCAGGGAGGCCTTTGCCAACCACCTACCACCTCCTCTCACACCACCACTACCATCACTATCTTTAAACATTAATTTTTTTTCCTTCATAGCACATACCATTATCATGTAGATGTATTTGTTGTGTCTCCCTACCAGAATGCCAGCTCTGCAAGGGTGGAAAGCTGGTCCATCCTGTCTACTACTGTATCCTAAGTACTACCCCCTGCCACCTGATACACACATGCTTCACTCCAGCATAGCAGCTGATATAGAATGGTCTTTTGCCAAGTATTGAAGGAAATAAAAGGGTGAGCAAGGCATACAGGGAGGGAGAAAGGAGTGAACAAACACCTTAGAGTCTGACTGACTATATTAAAAGGAAAAGGAAGAGTGAAGTTTTTCAAAACTGGTATTATTTTTAAGAGAAATGGCTAAGTAAGAGTAGGAAGCTCAGAATTGAAGTTTAGGGGTGAAGCTAGCACCAGATGAAGACTAAAAGGTAAGGAATATAAAAGAGCAAGTTTACCAAGCAGCTGCAAACGGTGCTGGGTGGCTTAATTCCTCTATCAGGAGACGTGTGAAGTCATGGCCCTGAGGCTCCTCACAGCTCGTGAGGCCACCTTGGTGACAGCATTCCATTCCTGCACAGCTTTTACCTTGCCAAGTTAGCAGTCTCTTTTGCTTTCTTTAGGTTAAGTTACAACAGCTGGAAGCTTCCTATGCATGCCAAGAGAAGGAGCTGCTCAAGGTAACAGCAGGAACTTCAATGTGACTTCTCCCCAAAAAGGGAAATGTGATCTTTGGTCAGGCAATCTATTTCTCAAGTGATTGATTTACATTAAGGTTCCAGATCCAAGACCATGATGGGGCTAGGGAGGGGTAAAGAAAAGGAAGATAAGCACAATCCCTGAGGTTGCTTTCTCTTCAAACATTTTTTTACAGAATACACTCTACAGTTTGTATCTCGCAAATATTAGTTATCTATCTATTCCTCTCCCAACTGCCCCCAAATTCCACCTTTGACCAATAACTCCCATTTAGCTTTTTTACCCTAAAAAAAGGAAATACATTTATCTGTACAGCAAAAAAGAAAACATATTTAGAACAATTAGAAAACCACATTTAGGACCTGGGACCCAAGAGAAAACAAGTATGCTTGTGTTCTTATAGCAATTTACCGAAATATATTTACAACTAAATTTTGATTTCCTAGGTAATGAAGGAGTATGCATTTGTGACCCAGCTCTGTGAAGATCAAGCCCTCTACATAAAGGTAGAGCTTCTTGGTAAAGGGATAGCAAAGGGTTTATTAAGGTACAGGATGAAATAGAACAAGGATTTTCAAAGACTACTGTCCAGAGCAATTTCAACAGTTCAAGGTGGCACTACTAGGATACTTTAAGGTCATCAGCACCCCACCTCACTATCAATATCACTCTATTTGTCTTTGTCTCCCTGGGAATTCCTGCCCTGCTCTCCCACTCTCTGTGCTGTTAAGTTAATAATTCACACTTCTGCTATTTATAATGTCAATGATGCCCAGAAACCTGTCCAGTGGTAAGGCATAGTGAGAGATCAAGAGTAGTAGGGGGGTGAGTTTTATGAAAGCAGAGAAAGTGGCAGTGGGAATACCAAGCATTCATGGTATCATGTAATAACAAGTGCTTATTATGCTTAGAAAAATTGTAAACCTTCTAAGTAGTAACTGTGGCTTTCTTTGTTTCTCTTTGAAGAAGTACCAGGAAACGTTGAAGAAAATAGAAGAAGAACTAGAGGCTCTGTTCCTTGAGAGAGAAGTGTGAGCTTTGGCAAAGGAACATCCTGGTTTTGGTAGAAACTCCATCTCAGCCTGAGTCAGAGCAAACAGTTCTCAGACCAATTTCTATTTGGAATTGAATGAGTCCCGACGCCACATATCTTTGCCCTCTGTTAGTGATCTGGTTGACCCCAGTAGATCACACCAACTTAAAACTTCCAGTCATTCTCCCATCCTTCTAAAAAGACCACAGAAACACATCTCCCTTCGTAATGTTATCACATTATCACATTATTATTCGGGTTGATATTAAGAGTAAAAACATGTACTTTAGAAAGAGTTGGTGGTCAGTCACCTTGATAAGTAGGGTATTCCTTATATATCACAGAAAGGCCTTTTCATTAATACCATCCTCACTTCCCCCAAATATATGGACACCCAACCATAAGGGATAGGCATGAAACTAATCTCTAGACTCATACTACAGCTACCACATTATATAAATCAGAACTGTACACTGTATTGAACTACGAACATTTAAAATTAGAGATGGGAAAGCACTCCTCAAAGTACAATGAGTTTGTCAAGAGTCTAAATGGTGAGAAATCCAAACCAAAAACCTCATCTCCATTTCTTGACCCCCTCTGTAAGTTAAATCTTAATGCAGTCAAGAAGTATTTCTATTTATGAAATATTTTTAAATCCTTAGATCAAGAACAAGAGATCAAAACTGCATATAGCCTCTCTCTATATATATATAGTCCAGGGTCCTAGGACTTGTAGGTCCTTGCCCCTAAAGGACACCTTCAAGTCACTCAAGATCCCTGCTGAACATTGGTTTATGGCTTAACTGTTAAGCCAAGATTCTAGAAAAGGTTGCCCAGTAGAATTTTCTGTGCTAGTTAGTAGGTAAAACTAACTACATATGGCAATTGAGTACATAAAAGATGTACTCAACTGAGGAAATTAATTTAACTTTAATTAATTTAAATAGCTATAGGTAGACAGTAGTTACAATATTGGACAGTACAGATTTAGAATATAAAGCTTTTTTAAAATAACCATAGTGTAGTATGAATATTTCAGTGCACTTTGTTCAATTTCTGTCCTGGCTGTTATCTTCATAGATCAAAACTCGTGAGCATGAACCCTGTGGAAAAAGAGCATACCAGCCAAAATAATGAGGTAAACACTCCATTCTCTCTTCAGCTCCTCACAGTGTCATTGCCTTTCAAAGCCATCTCCAGCAAACTATAAGGCACCAAATATATACCCAATCTTGCCATGCGCATTTTCCAAGAACAGTACCAGCTATAATTACAGAGCATTCCAACCCTAAACAAACAAACTAGACTCTAAGGAACAATCTACTTTCTTCTCATTCAGCCATACAAATAACAGGCTCTCAAAAAACTAGCCGAAGACCTAAGAGAACTCAGAATGGAGGCAAGAAGCAACCTTAATTGAGGGTATGCTCTATAGAAAGAGGCCAATATAGGGCACATACACCACCTCTTCCATCTCCTACAATCACAGTACTCTTTCCTGATGATCTTGACATGGTTCCTAATCTCTCACAACACAGAGCACCCACCATCTGTCATCATCTAGTCAGAATTGGCCTGTGAGTTAAAACATAGAACGCTATTGCTTCTTTGTGACAGAGTTTCAGTGTCTGTTCATATTTAATATAGCAAAGCCACCAGCACACATGTAAAGGTCTGAAGGAAAAGAACAATTTCATACAGAGCACCAATCCTCTTGGCCTGCTTGATGTCTTGTGGCAGCAAGGATAAAAGGTTAAAGTTAAACTTTGGTTGGGCTTTAATTTTGTAATTTATATTGGCTTTAGAGTCCAGGTTGACAAACATCAGAAATTACAGATAGTCAAGATAAATACTTAGAAAAGAGAACTAAACACTTCCTTAAAAGCAAATATCAAATATTGGCCATTGTGTTTGGGTCATCCAAATGTTTGGATATATGTTAGGCCATGTCCATGGTTCTTAAGAGTACTGAACAAGTCATTCTGGCCCCGAAGCTTGCATATTCTGCTTAGTAAACAAAATCCCTGAAATTAACTCGACCCACTTCTGTAGAACCAAGTTTTTGACATCTCCAATGTGTCCTACCATCTCTCCCCACAGCTCATCAAAATATTCCTTCTAACTATGTGTCAGAGGAAAAAATTAAAGTTGTCTACATCAAGCTCATCAGGGTCCCATGATGGTTCAATGACCTAGTGATGTCTGAGCAACTTTGGAGACAGGATGCCTGAGAACTGACTGTTTGGCAGGCCATGTAATCTTACTCAAACTATAGATCAAAATTTGTAATCCTAAAAGTTTCTTTCTAATTCAAATTCTGTAAGCCTCTTTTCCACAGCTCTAATTTTTTTTAGTAGAAAGATGAAGTCTCACTATGTTGTTCAGGCTGGTCTTTAACTCCTGGGCTCAAGGGTTCCTCCCACCTCAACCTCCCAAGTAGCTAGGACTACAGGCACCCACCACCATGCCTGGCTGGCTCTAAAATGTGATCATAATTCCTCTTTTTATCTCACAAGGAAGGTTAAAGGACAATGAAATAACTGAGAAAATATTTTGAAACCAGAATGCCACAGAAATACAGGACATAGCCTCATCTTTAGATTTTTTTTTCTTCAACTTTTAAGTTCAGGGGTACATGTGCAGGATGTGCAGGTTTGTTACATAGGTAAACGTGTGCCATGGTGGTTTGCTGCACAGATCATCCCATCACCTAGGTATTAAGCCCAGCATCTACTAGCTATTCTTCCTAATGCTCTCCCTCCCACTACCTCAACCCCACTGACAAGCTCCAGTGTGTGTTGTTCCCCTGCATGTGTCCATGTGTTCTCATCATTCAGCTCCCACTTATAAGTGAGAACATGCAGTGTTTGGGTTTCTGTTCTTGGGTTAGTTGGCTGAGTAAAATGGCTTCCAATACCACCCATGTCCCTGCAAAGGACATGATATCATTCCTTTTTATGGCCGCATAGTATTCCATGATGTATATATATCACATATTCTTTATCCAGTCTATCATTGATGGGCACTTAGGTTGATTCCATGTATTTGCTATTGTGAACAGTGCTGCAATGATATTTGTGTGCATGTGTCTCTATGATAGAATGATTTATATTCCTTTGGGTATATACCCAGTAATGACATTGCTGGGTCAAATGGTATTTCTGCCTCTAGGTCTCTGAGGAATTGCCACACTGTCTTCCACAATGGTTGAACGAATTTATACTCCCAGCAACAGTGTAAAAGCATGCCTTTTTCTCTGCAACCTCACCAGCATCTGTTGTTGTTTGATTTTTTAATAATAGCAATTCTACTGGTGTCAGATGGTTTTTCATTGTGGTTTTGATTTGCATTTCTCTAATGATCAGTAATGTTGAACTTTTTTTGTGTGTTTGTTGGCTGTATGTATGTCTTCTTTTGAGAAGTGTCTGTTCATCTTCTTTGCCCACTTTTTAGTGAGGTTGTTTTTTTCTTGTAAATTTGTTTAAGTTCCTTGTAGACTCTGGGTATTAGACATTTGTCAGATGCATAGTTTTCAAAAATTGTCTCCTATTCTGTAGGTTGTCTGCTCACTCTGATGATAGTTTATTTTCCCGTGCAGAAGCTCTTTAGTTTAAGTATATCCCACTTGTCTAATTTTGCTTTTGTTGCAATTGCTTTTGGCATTTTCATCAAGAAATCTTTGCCCATGCCTGTGTCCATGGTATTGCCTAGATTTTCTTCTAGGGTTTTTACTATTTTGGGTTTTACATTTAAGTCTATAATCCATCTTGAGTTAATTTTTGTATATTATGTAAGGAAGCAGTCCAGTTTCAATTTTCTGTATATGGCTAGCCAGTTTTCCCAGTATCATTTATTGAATAGGGAGTCCTTTCCCCATTGTTTGTTTTTGTCAGGTTTATTGAAGATCAGATGGTTGTAGGTGAGCAGTGTTATTTCTGAGTTTTCTATTTCATTGGTCTATGTGTCTGTTTTTGTACTAGTACCACGCTGTTTTGGTTACTGTAGCCTTGTAATATAGTTTGAAGTCAGGTAGCGTGATGACTCTAGCTTTGTTCTTTTTGCTTAGGGTTGTCTTGGCTATTAGGGCTCTTTTTGGTTCCACATGAATTTTAAAATCATTTTTTCTAATTCTGTGAAAAATGTCAATAGTAGTTTAATGTGAATAGCATTGAATCTAGAAATAACTTTGGACAGTATGGCCATTTTCATGATATTGATTCTTTCTATCCATGAACATGGAATGTTTTTCCATTTGTTTGAGTCCTCTCTGATTTCTTTCAGCGATGGTTTGTAGTTCTCCTTGAAGGAGTCTTTCACTTCCCTTGTAAGCTGTATTCCTAGGTATTTTATTTTTTTGTAGCAACTGTGAATGGGAGTTCATTCATGATTTGGCTCTCTGCTTGACGGTTGTTGGTGTATAGGAATGCTGTGACTTCTGCACATTGAATTTGTAGCCTGAGACTTTGCTGAAGTTGCTCAAGATGCTTTTGGACTGAGATGATGGGGTTTTCTAGATATAGGATCATGTCACCTGCAAACAAAGATAATTTGACTTCCTCTTTTCCTATTTGAATAGCCTTTATTTCTTTCTCTTTACTGATTGCCCTGGCCAGAACTTCCAATGCTATGTTGAATAGGAGTGGTGAGAGAAGTCATCCTTGTCTTGTGCCAGTTTTCAAGGGGAATGCTTCCAGCTTCTTCCTATTTAGTATGATATTGGCTGTGGATTTGTCATATATGACTCTTATTATTTTGAGTTATGTTTTTTCAATACCTAGTTTATTGAGAGTTTTTAAAATTAAGGGATGTTGAATTTTATCAGAGGCCTTTTATGCATCTATTGAGATAATCATGGGTTTTTGTTTTTAGTTCTGTTTATGTGATGGATTATATTTATTGATTTGTGTATGTTGAACCAAACTTGCATCCCAGGGATAAAGCCAAACTTGATCACTCATCTTTAGATTTTTTATAGCTTTTAAGACTTATCTCTTAAGATATGTTTATATAGTTTTCTTAGCCTATAAGCTTCTCTAAGGGTCACTGGCTGAGCAGAAGATAGAATGGTATAGTTGAGAGAGCCAAGAATGTGGAGTCAGAGTATCCAGGTTCCAGGCCCCATCCTGCCCCTAACTGGCTATGTGACCTTGGGCAACATCCTTTGTCTTTCTGTGCCTTAGTTTAGTCATATAAATATGTAAAAAGGTAGGACAAATAACAATAATAATAAACATATTTTAAAATTTTGGCCTGAAAATTATATGTGCTTATGCATATAAAAAGAATTTGTTAAAGTTATCTAAATAACATATAACTAATGGCTCACTAAATATTATTGGATGATGATAATAGCCTCCAGAAATTGCTTATTTATCAATATCCTTTCTTCTTCCAGGGTACTCCTACCCAAAAGACAGCAAGATTATTCAGTAAAAAGTAAGTAAAATATCTTCAGGTAAACTTCCTATAAAATTGGGAGCCCTATTTAGCTATTCGGGCAGAGGGAAAAGTCTAGACAAGGAGAGCCTTGTATATGCGTGTGCACACATACACACACACACACAAGTCAGCAAACTAATGTCTTTGACTGTATTTCTCAATTCTAATGTTATGACTTACTTGTTTAAAGGTAATTAATAATCTCAACTTTCCATTATTAAAAATCAACAGCCTTGTGGTATTAAGAAATAGAAATTTGATTATGTAAAAGAGATGTGGCAGATCTCTTATTTACTGCCTTTTCCCTTTAACAATTTGGATTAGCTTGATGTATCTGGTTTCCTAGTACCATTGGTAGATTAGAATGAAGACTGTCACATGCTAGTATACCACTGTCTAATAAGAGATAGAAGAGAGACAAGCATTATGAGAAAGAGCATCTAACAGTATCCAACACATAATGGTTGCTTGAAAATACTTGTTAAATTGAATAAAAATTTAAGATTCAAATACCTGAGTAGATATTCATCCTGAGGGAATCACTGTGATAGCAAAGTAAAATTGGTATTCACGAAGCTCCTACATTTTCAAGAAAAGGTCAAATTATATTCAATATAATCTGTTTAAGAAGGCATAAAGAAACATATATTCAAAATGGTATGAAATATGATTTAGAGAGAGTTCCATCAAAATGTTTAACATAAAATTATTGGTGGTTAAAGGTCAGCTCCAATTGTCTAGAAAATTTGCTTAAGTAGAATACCCCTTCATACCAGATAAATGAAATATTACATCTTTCAATATTCCTGAATACAATATTCCTAAAACAACTAGCAGAATTTTCTCTAGAACTCCTAGTTTGTTCTCTTATACTCCAACACAAGGGCCCACAATGGAATTGACTGTGTGGATTTCTAGAATAAGGACTGTCTGCCTAAAGAGACTTGGTATCCTGAAGGAAATCTTAGAAAAGAGATCCTGAAAGTCTAGCTAATCATGTCAAACTATAAATGTCTTTCCTCTCATTCTGCTTCAACATCTTGTGGGGCACTGGTACACTGGGCACTAACTCAAGAGACAAGAAAGCTAGGCTACTCCTAGGATTTTCCCTGGGAATGCAATCCCAGAACCTTCTCATGCGTATTGGCTGAAATTTCATGGAGAGTGGTGGGAAGATGTGTCAAGGGCTTCTGATTCTAATTTTGACCAAGGTGTTGTACTGAAATGAGTGCTGGCTCCTGTCACCAAGATCAACCATAGCAGCAAACTTGAGAAAAGTAGAGGGAAAGGGGCTGTTTTTGACCTTTAAGGGTGAATAGTGAATTTGTCCTGGGGCAGAGGCATCCCAAAACAGCTGGGTAAGAATAATACAGGAAAGAAATGGGGAAGGTTTCCTCATGCAATTCATATTAAAGCCATAAGGCCTAAATAACTCATCAGTTGAAAGAAAAAAAAATCAAGACCACCATAAGAAGGTTTATAAAAAATTATTACAAAATGTTACAGATAACATGAATGAAAGAAAATAACATAATCATGGATAGAAACTCATATCAAAAAAGTAAGAATTGCCTCCAAATGATTAATAAATTCAACTCAATTTCAATCAAACTCTCCAAATGGTTTTTCATGGAATTGAATAAAATAATTCTAAAATATACTCTATATGGAAGAATAAAGGGTCAAGAATAACCTGGACAGTTTTAAAGAGCACGGAGTGGGGAACATGCCCTTCCAGATATCAGGACTTACTATGACGCTATAGTAATTATTATAGTGTGGTATTGGGACTGGAATAGGAAAACTGCCTAGTGGAATGGAAGAAAGAGTTCAGAAATTGTGCACATAGCAAACTTTGGTATGTGACAGTGATTGCATGTCAAAGGAAAAGGCAGAACGAACTGTTCAATAAGAACAGCAGGGAAAAAAATGGTTATCTGTATGAGATTGGATCACTAAATACAGTATATACAAAAGGCAAGCCCAGATGTGTTAAAGATGTAAATGCTAAAAAAAAAAAATAAAAATCTTCAAAACTCTGTATTATTTTCTATGCTACATAATAAATTACCCCCAAAACTTAGTGACTTCAAAGAACAAACATTTATTAGCACAGTTTCTGTGGGCCAAGTGGTACTAGCCAAGTGGTTCTAGCTAGTATCTGTCAGGAAGTTGCAGTTAGGATGTTGACCAAAATTGCAGTCATTAAAAGGTTTGGCTGGAGCTAGAAGTTATATTTCCAAGGTAACTAACTCACACATCTGGCAAGCTTTTTCTGGTAGTTGACAAAGTCTCAGTTCCTCACTGCATAGACCCTTCCATAAGGCCGCTTGAGTGTCCTCACAACATGACTGCTGTCTTCCTCCAAAGGGTGTGCAGGAAACTGCAATACCTTTATGGTGTAATCTAGGAAGCTGCACTACATACTGTGACTTTCACCATATTCCATTCTTTAGAAGTAAGTTATTAAATCCAGCCCAAACTCCAATGGAGGGGAATACTCTTGAAAGGAGGAGTAACAAAGAATCTGTAGACATATTTTTAAACTAACATAGACTTTTAATAGAAAATATAAGTATATTTCAGGTCTTGGGATAGGGAATTTTTTTAAAAAGGACACAGAAAGCATCGATCCTAATTAAAGAAAAGATGGACAAACTAGACCCTATTAAAATCGAGAATTTTTTTCTTTAACATCTTAGAGCAAGTGAAAGTTATGAAGTTGGGAGGATACATAACAATACACATAATGGAAAAGGATTGATATCAAGAACATGAAACAAACTCTTACAAATCAATAAGAAAAGCTAAAACTACCTTGTAGATAAATGGGCAAGAAGAAACACATAAAACCAATAAACCTATAACAGATGTTCGCATCATTGTTCATCAGGGAAATGCATATTGAAGCCATAATGAGAGATTATTTTACATCCATTTGATTAGCAAAAGTGTTTAAATCTGATAATATCAAGTGTTGGAGAGGATATGGGTCCACAGAAACTTATACCTTGCTAGAGGGTTATAAGCCAATGAAACTGTTTTGAAAAACAACTTGCCAAAACAAAACCAAAAATAAACAAAACAAAAAATCAGAGAACAAAATTATTTTAGTGACAAATGCTACCCAGAAAATAAAACACGGTAATGGACAGAGAATAACCAATAGGACAGAATATGGGAGGGGGAGCTGCCATTATAAAAGGTTGTCAGGAAAGGGGGTGATAATCCATTTGAATATCAATTAGGAGCCAGATATGCATTCAGGTATGATTTATTTTTTGTTCCAAGTTTTCTAAGCTTCTGGTTAACAGTTTCATGGCATTCTCTTTTTAGGATTTTTTGCTGTCTCTTTTTCATCACCCTATTTTTCATCAGACTGCTGAGCTACATGTTTTTTCATGTAAGATTCATAAATCCAGATCTCCTCGTCAATGTACTGCCCAAGGTACTGGGCAGGAGCACCTTGTGGAAGCTCAGATGCTTCTTCTTTCCATCTCTCACACTTGAGACAGAGGACATGTTACCCCACTGATTCCCTAAGAAATATCCTTGAGCAATAGAAGGGAAGTGGGATCCGAGCCTGTAGAAGGGAGGCATGAAACTTGTGGAGGAAAGAGATTTGCTTCAGTTTTTTCCTCACCGTTTGCCTGCTTGACTACCTTCTGTCACCACGTCATCTTTCCAGGATTAACCTTGACCAGTAAAAAGCTCTGTAATAGATTTATGTGGCTCTGTGGATCGGCTGAATAGTACTTGATAGTAAACAAATTTGACCATTTGGGGAATTATATAGATGCTAAGAAAAGTTAATTGATAAATTATTCTAGTGAATCTCAAAAATCTGACACACTGGATTCCTGAAATACAGAAGATTACTTACTGCTTATATTAGAACTCATAGGTTATAAGTGACCTTAGCTTAAGATAATTTATAGCAAATACATAAGTATTTATACTTACATATTTAAATATAAAATAAAAAGTCTGTGAATAAATAAGCCAGGCAAGAAATCAGAAGACTCCACCAATTATCCCCCTTCAAGGACACCAATTTAACAACTATCTAAACAAAGAAAGCACCTTTTTAAGAATCAAAAATCAGGAGAGCACTCAGAGTCTGTAGTTTTAACTTCATATTGCTGAGACACGGAAGAGATAGGAAAAACAGTCTGGAATCACCAACACCCCCCCTTTCCCATCCTCCAGCAGCAAGGGTGTGGTGTGGAGAGCATTTCTGTGTGGTGAGGAGAGAAAGACTGCAGCATTTGTGAGACATTGAACTCAGTGCTTCCCCATTATAACAGAAAACAAAACCAGACCAAACTCACCTGACACCTGCCCACAGAGGGCTAATTTAAACCAGCCCTAGCTAGAGGAGAATTGCTGATCCCAGCTGTCGGAATTTAAGTTTCTGCAAGCCTTGCCGCTGCCAAGCTAAAGTACTCTGGAGGCTTATATAAACTTGAAATTCCTAGGTGAGTCCTAGTGCTGCACTAGGCCCAGACACAGTGGACTTGGCAGGGAGTGGGGGTGGTCACAGAGTGGCTAAGGGAGTGCTGGAATCACCCCTCCCCTAATCCCAGGCAGCACAGCTCATGGCTCCAAAAGAGACCGTTTCCGACTGCTCAAGGAGGACTCAAGTTGGGAAGACTTTGTCTTGCATCTTGAATAGCAGCTCAGCCACAGGAAGATAGGGCACCAGTCAGAGTCATGAGGCCCCCTTTCCAGGCCCTAGCTCCCAGATGACATTTCTAGACACACCCTGGGCCAGAAGGGAGCCTGCTACTTTGAAGAGGACTCAGTCCTGGAAGGACACATCACCTGCTAACTGAAAAGCCTCTGGGCCCTAAATAACCAGCAGCGATACTTAAGTACTATGTGGAGGGCTTTAGGTGAGACCCTGAGAATTTCTGGCTTCAGGTGAGACTCAGCATAGTCCCAGCTATTGTGGCTATGGGTCAAGATTCCTTCTACTTGAGAAAAACAGAGGAAAAAGCAAAGTGGACTTTGTCTTCCAGCTTGGTCACAGTGAGGTAGAGCACAGAGTGAGCCCTTGGGTTCCCAATTTCAGGACTTGGCTCTTGGAATACATTTCTGGAACTGCCCTAGGCAAGAGGGGATCCCACTGCCCTGAAGGGCAAGTCCCAGGCCAGGCAGCATTCACTACAAGCTAACTGAAGAGCCTTGGGGCCTTCTTTAAGGAAACATTAGTGGTAGTCCGGCAGTACTCCCCATAGGCCTATGGTGGCAGTGGCCATGGTGGGAGGCATCTCTGCTTTTGGAAAGGGGAGGGAAGAATGGGAAGAACTGAGTCTTTTGGTTTGAATGCTACCTTATCTGCAGTACAGTACAATATCAGATGGACTTCTAAAGCTCTTGACTCTAGACCCTGGCCCCTGAAAGCACCTCTGGACATGCACAGGGCCAGGGGTAACTCACCACCCTGAAGGGAAGGACACAAGCCTGGTTGCTTTGCCACCTGCTGATTGTAGAGCCCCCAGGGCCTTGAGTGAACATAGACCATAGCCAGGTAGTGACTACAGCAGGACTCGGGTAAGACCCAGTGCTGTGCTGGCTTCAGGTCTAACGGTTCAGCACAGTCCTAGTGGTTTTGGCCACAGAGGTACTTGTGTTACACCACCCAGAGCTCCAGGTGACTCAGAAAAGAGAGAGATGCCATTCATTTGGGGGGAAGTAAGGAAAGAGAATACGAACCTTTGCCTGATAATCCAAAGAATTCTTCCAGATTTTGCTTAAAACCATCAAGGTGGTACCTCTACAAGTTGGCAAGAACCACAGTATTACTGGGCTTAGGGTGGCCCCTAAAGCAGATATGGCTTAGATCACAACATCAAAGTCCTTTTGAATATCTGGAAGGCCTTCCCAAGTAGAATGGGTACAAACGAGCCCAGATTGAGAAGACTACAATAAATGCCTAACTCTTCAATGCCCCAGCACCAAACATCTACAGGCATCAAAAACATCCAGGAAAACATGACCTCACCAAACTAAAGTAAGGCACCAGGGACCAATCCTGGAGAAACAGAGATATGTGACCTTTCAGGAAGAAATTTAAAATACCTGTTTTGAAGAAACTCAAATTCAAGATAACACAGAGAAGAAACTCAGAATTCTATCAGAAAAATTTAACAAAGAGATTAAAATAATTTAAAAGAATCAAGCAGAAACTCTGGAGTTAAAATGCATTTAGCATAATGAAGAATACACCAGAGTCTTTTAATAGCAGAATTGATCAAGCAGAAGAAAGAATTAGTGAGCTTAAAGACAGGCTAATTGAAAATACACAGTCAGAGGACATAAAAGGAAAAAAATAAAATAAAAAACAAAGCACACCTACAGGATCTAGAAAGTAACCTCAAAAGAAAAAATCTAAGAGTTACTGGCCTTAAAGGGGAGATAAACAGATAGGCATAGAAAGTTTATTCAAAGGAATAACAACAAAGAACTTCCCAAACTTAGAGAAAAATATCAATATCCAAATATAGAACACCTACAGATTTAACCCGAAGAAGACTATGTCAAGGCATTTAATAATCAAATTCCCAAAGGTCAAGGATAGAGAAAGGATCACAAATGCAGCAAGAGAAAAGAAAAAAATAATGTACAATGGAGCTGTAATATATCTGGCAGCAGACATTTCAATGAAAATCTTACAGACCAGGGGAGACTGCCATGATATATTTGAAATGCTAGATGAAATAAACATTTATCCTGCAATAGTATTCTGGTGAAAATGTCCTTCAAACATGAAGGAGAAATACAGGCTTTCTAGACAAACAAAATCTGAGGGACTTCATCAACACCACACCTAGTCTACAAGAAATGCTAAAGGGAGTACATTAGTCAGAAAGAAAAGGACATTAATGAGCAATAAGAAATTATCTGAAGGTACAAAACTACTGCTAATAGTAAGTACACAGAAAAACACAACATTATAACATTGTAACTGTGGTATGTATACTACCTTAAGTAGGAAAACTAAACAATGAACCAATCAAAAATAATAACTATAACAACTTTTCAAAACATAGACAGTATAATAAAATATAAATAGAAACAACAAGAAGTTAAAAAGTGGGGGTACAAAGTTAAGAAACAGAGCCTTTGATTTCTTTTTTCATGTTTGTTTATTCAAGTAATGTTAAGTTGTTATTAGCTTAAAATAATGGGTTATAAGATAGTATTTGCTAACCTCATGGTAATCTCAAAAAACATACAATGAATACACAAAAAAATGCAAAAGAAAAACTAAATTATATCACCAGACAGAATCACCTTTACTAGAAGGAAGACAGGAAGAAAAGAAAGAAGGAAGAGAAGACCACAAAACAACAAGGAAACAACAAAATGGCAGAAGTAATTTTTTACTTATCAACAATAACATTGAATGTAAGTGGACTAAACTCTCCAATCAAAGGACATAGACTGGCTGAATGAATTTACAAACAGGACCCAAGGATCTGTTGCCTAAAAGAAACACACTTCAGGCAAGAATAACTATTCTTATATAAGACAAAATAGATTTAAAGAGTAAAAAAAAAAAAAAAAAAAACTTAACAAGATTGAACCATGAAGAAATCCAAACCTGAAAAGACCAATAACAAGTAATGAGATCAAAGCTGTAATAAATAGTCTCCCAGTAACGAAAAGCTCAGGACCTGATGACTTCACTCCTGAATTCTACCAAACATTTAAAGATGAACCACAGGGGTTGCAATCCTAGTCTCTGATAAAACAAACTTTAAACTGTTACAAATATCAAAAGAGACAAAGAAGGGCATCACATAATGGTAAAGGGATCAATGCAACATGAAAAGCTAAATATCCTAAATATATATGCACCCAATACAGGAGCACCCAGATTCATAAAGCAAGTTCTCAGAGACCTACAAAGAGACTTAAACTCCCACACAATAATAGTGGAAGACTTTAACATCCCACTGTCAATATTAGATGGATCAACAAGGCAGAAAATTAACAAGAATATCCAGGACTTGAACTCAGCTCTGGACCAAGCAGATCTAATAGACATCTACAGAAGTCTCCACCCCAAATCAACAGAATATACATTCTTCTCAGCACCACACTGCACTTATTCCAAAATTGACCACATAATTGGAAGTAAAACACTCCTCAGCATATGCAAAAGAATGGAAATCATAACAAACAGCCTCTCAGACCACAGTGCAATCAAATTAGAACTCAGGATTAAGAAAGTCACTCAAAGCCACACAACTACACGGAAACTAAACAACCTGCTCCTGAATGACTACTGGGTAAATAACGAAATGAAGGTAGAAATAAACAAGTTCTTTGAAACCAATGAGAACAAAGACGCAATCTACCAGAATCTCAGGGACACATTTAAAGCAATGTGTAGAGGGAAATTTACAGCACTAAATGCCCACAAGAGAAAGGAGGAAAGATCTAAAATCAACACCCTAACATCACAATTAAAAGAACTAGAGAAGCAAGAACAAACAAATTCAAAAGCTAGCAGAAGGCAAGAAATAACTAAGAACAGAACAGAACTGAAGGAGATAGAGACACAAAAAACCCTTCAAAAAATCAGTGAATCCAGGAGGTGGTTTTTTGAAACGATCAACAAAATAGATAGACCACTAGCCAGACTAATAAAGAAGAAAACAGAGAATCAAATAGACGCAATAAAAATCATAAAGGGGATATCACCACTGATCCCACAGAAATATAAACTACATCAAAGAATACTATAAACACCTCTATGCAAATAAACTAGAAAATCTAGAAGAAATGGATAAGTTCCTGGATACATACACCCTCCCAAGACTAAACCAGGATGAAGTTGAATCCCTGAATAAACCAATAACAAGTTCTGAAATTGAGACAGCAATTAATAGCATACCAACCAAAAAAGTCCAGGACCAGATGGATTCCCAGCCAAATTCTACCAGAGGTACAAAGAGTAGCTGGCACCATTCCTTCTGAAACTATTCCAAACAATAGAAAAAGAGGGAATCCTCCCTAACTCATTTTATGAAGCCAGCATTATCCTGATACCAAAACCTAGCAAAGACACAACAAAATAAGAAAATTTCAGGCCAGTATCCCTAATGAACATCGATTTGAAAATCCACAATAAAATACTGGCAAACCAAATCCAGCAGCATATCAAAAAGCTTGTCCACTACGATCAAGTTGGCTTCATCCCTGGGATGCAAGGCTGGTTCAACGGATGCCAATCAATAAACTTAATCCATCACATAAACAGAACCAATGACAAAAACCATATGATTATCTCAACAGATGCAGAAAAGGTTTTCGACAAAATTCAACAGCCCTTCATGCTAAAAACTCTCAATAAACTAGGTATTGATGGAACATTTCTCAAAATAATGAGAGCTATTTATGACAAACCCACAGCCAATATCATACTGAATGGGCAAAAACTGGAGGCATTCCCTTTGAATACCGGCACAAGACAAGGCTGCCCTCTCTCACCACTCCTATTCAACATAGTATTGGAAGTTCTGGCCAGGGCAATCAAGCAAGAGAAAGAAATAAAAGGTATTCAATTCCAAAAAGAGGAAGTCAAATTGTCTGTGTTTGCACATGACATGATTGTATATTTAGAAAACCCCATTGTCTCAGCCCCAAATCTCCTTAAGCTGATAAGCAACTTCAGCAAAGTCTCAGGATACAAAATCAATGTGCAAAAATCACAAGCATTCCTGTACACCAATAATAGACAAAGAGAGCCAAATCATGAGTGAACTCCCATTCACAATTGCTACAAAGAGAATTAATATACCTAGGAATACAACTTACAAGGGATGTGAAGGAACTCTTCAAGGAGAACTACAAACCACTCCTCAAGGAAATAAGAGAGGATACAAACAAATGGAAAAACATTCCATGCTCATGGATAGGAATAATCAATGTCGTGAAAATGGCCATACTTCCCAAAGTAATTTACAGATTCAGTGCTATCCCTATCAAGCTACCACTGACTTTATTCAAAGAATCAGAAAAAACTACTTTAAATTTCATATGGAACCAAAAAAGAGCCCATATAGCCAAGACAATCCTAAGCAAAAAGAACAAAGCTGGAGGCATTGTACTACCTGACTTCAAACTATACTACAAGGCTACAGTAACCAAAACAGCATGGTACTGGTACCAAAACAGATATATAGACTAATGGAACAGAACAGAGGCCTCAGAAATAATGCCACACATCTACAACAATTGATCTTTGACAAACCTGACAAAAACAAGCAATGGGGAAAGGATTCCCTATTTAATAAATGGTGTTGGGAAAACTGGCTAGCCATATGTAGAAAGCTGAAACTGGATCCCTTCCTTACACCTTATACAAAAATTAACTCAAGATGGATTAAAGACTTAAACGTAAGACCTAAAACCATAAAAACCCTAGAAGAAAACCTAGGCAATACCATTTAGGACATAGGCATGAGCAAATACTTCATGACTAAAACACCAAAAGCAAAGGCAACAAAAACCAAAATAGGTAAATGGGATATATTTAAACTAAAGAGCTACTGCACAGCAAAAGAAACTATCATCAGAGTGAACAGGCAACCTACAGAATGGGAGAAAATTTTTGCAATCTATCTATCTGACAAAGGGCTAATATCCAGAATCTACAAAGAACTTAAACAATTTACAAGAAAAACAAACAAACAACTCCACCAAATAGTGGGCAAAGGATATGGACAGACACTTTCCAAAAGAAGACATTTATGCAGCCAACAAACATGAAAAAAAGCTAATCATCACTGGTCATTAGAGAAATGCAAATCAAAACCACAATGAGATACCATCTCACATCAAAACCACAATGAGATACCATCTCACACCAGTTAGAATGGCGATCATTAAAAAGTCAGGAAACAACAGATGCTGGGGAGAATGTGGAGAAATAGGAACGCTTTTACACTGTTGGTGGGAGTGTAAATTATTTCAACCATTGTGGGAGATCATGTGGCATTTCCTCAAGGATCTAGAACTAGAAATACCATTTTACCCAGCAATTCCATTACTGGGTATATACCCAATGGACTATAAATCATTCTACTAAAAAGACACATGCACACGTATGTTTACTGTGGCACTGTTCACAATAGCAAAGACTTGGAACCAACCCAAATGCTCATCAATGATACACTGGATAAAGAAAATGTGGCACATATACACCATGGACTACTATGCAGCCATAAAAAAGGATGAGTTCATGTACTTTGCAGGGCCATGGATGAAGCTGGAAACCATCATTCTCAGCAAACTAACACAGGAACAGAACACCAAACACCATATGTTCTCACTCATAAGTGGGAGTTGAACAAGAGAACACATGGACACAGAGGGGAACATCACACACTGGGGCCTGTCAGGGGGTGGGGGGTTAGGGGAGGGATAGCATTAGGAGAAATACCTAATGTAGATTATGGGTTGATGGGTGCAGCAAACCACCATGGCACGTGTATACGTATGTAATAAACCTGCACATTCTGCACATGTACCCCAGAATTTAAAGTATAATTAAAAAATAAATAAAGATGAACTAATACCAATCCTATTCAAACTATTCCAAAACACAGGAGAGGAGGGAATACTTCCAAACTCATTCTGTAAGGTCAATATTACCCTGACACCAAAACCAGACAAAGACACGTCAAAAAAGAAAACTACAGGCCAAAATATCTGATGAATATTGGTGCAAAATCCTCCACAAAATACTAGCAAACCAAATTCAACAATACATTAAAAAGATCATATATCATGACCTGGGATGCAGGGATAGTTCGACATACACAAATCAATCAATGTGATTCATTATATCAACAGAATGAAGGAAAAAACCCTATGTTCATTTCAATTGATGCTGAAAAAGCAATTGATATAATTCAACAATGCTTCATGATAAAAGCCCTCAAAGAACTGGAGATAGAAAGAACATAGCTCAACGTAATAAAAGCCATATATGACAGACCCACAGCTAGTATCATACTGAATAAGGAAAAACTGAAAGCCTTTCCTCTAATATCTGGAACATGTCCACTTTCATGACTGTTATTCAGTATAGTACTGGACATCCTAGCTAGAGCAATCAGAAAAGAGAAATAAAGAAAGAACATCCAAATTGGAAAGAAAGAAGTCAAATTCTGCTTGTTTTCAGATGATATTATATTTGGGAAAAAAATTAAAGAATCCACCAAAAAAAACTATTTAGAACTGATGAACAAATTCAGTAAAGTTGCAGGATACAAAATCAACATACAAAAATCAGTAACTTTTTTTATAAGTTATTGGGGTACAGTTGGTATTTGGTCACATGAGTAAGTTCTTTAGTGGTGATTTGTGAGATTCTGGTGCACCCATCACCCCAGCAGTATACACTGCACTACATTTGCAGTCTTTTTTAAAATATTTTTTTCCCTACATTTTTGTCCCTCACCCCCTACCACTCTTCCCCACAAGTCCCCAAAGTCCATTGTATCATTCTTATGCCTTTGCGTCCTCATAGCTTAGCTCCCACATATCAGTAATAACATATGATGTTTGGTTTTCCATTCCTGAGTTACTTCACTTAGAATAATGGCCTCCAATCTCATCCAGGTTGCTGCAAATGCCATTATTTCATTTCTTTTTATGGCTGAGTAGTATTCCATCATATAAATATACCACAATTTTTTTATCCATTAGTTGATTGATGGGCATTTGGGTTGGTTCCATGATTTTGCAATTGCAAATTGTGCTGCTATAAACATGAGTGTGCAAATATCTTTTTTGTATGATGACTTCTCCTCCTGGTAGATATCCAGTAGTGGAATTGCTGGATCAAATGGTAGTTCTACTTTTAGTTGTTTAAAGAATCTCCACACTGTTTTCCATAGTGTTTGTACTAGTTTACATTCCAACCAGCAGTGTAGAAGTGTTCCCTCTTCACCACATCCACGTCAACATCTACTGGTTTTTGATTTTTTGATTATGGCCATTCTTGCAAGAGGAAGGTGGTATCACATTGTGGTTTTGATTTGCATTTCCTTGATCATTAGTGATACTGAGCATTTTTTCATATGTTTGTTGGTCATTTGTATATCTTCTTTTGAGAATTGTCTATTCATGCCCTTAGGCTAATTTTTAATGGGATTGTTTGGTTTTTCTTGCTGACTTGTTTGAGTTTGTTCTAGATTCTGAATATAGATTCTGAATAGTCCCTTGTCAGATGTGTAGATTGCGAAGATTTTCTGCCACTCTGTGGACTGTCTGTTTACTCTGCTGACTATTCCTTTTGCCATACAAAAGCTCTTTAGTTTAATTAAGTCCCAACTATTTATCTTTGTTTTTATTGCATTTGCTTTTGGGTTCTTGGTCAGGAAATCCTTGCCTAAGCCAATGCCTAAAAGGGGTTTTCCAATGTTTTCTTCTAGAATTTTTATAGTTTCAGGTCTTAGATTTAAGTCCTTAATCCATCTCGAGTTGATTTTTGTATAAGGCAAGAGATGAGGATCCAGTTTCATTCTCCTACATGTGGCTATCCAATTATCCCAGCACTATTTGTTGAAAAAGGTGTCCTTTCCCCATATTACGTTTTTGTTTGCTTTGTCGAATATCAGTTGGCTATAAGTATTTGGGTTTATTTCTGAGTTCTCTATTCTGTTCCATTGGTCTATGTGCCTATTTTTATACCAGTACCATGCTGTTTTGGTGACTATGGCCTTATAGATTTGTTTGAAGTCAGGTAGTGTCATGCCTCCAGATTTGTTCTTTTTGCTTAGTCTTGCTTTGGCTATGCGGGCTCCTTTTTTGTTTTATATCAATTTTAGATTTTTTTTCTATTTCTGTGAAGAATGATGGTATTTTGATGGGGATTGCATTCAATTTGTAGATTGCTTTTGGCAGTATGTCATTTTCACAATATTGATTCTACCCATCCGTGAGCATGGGATGTGTTTCCATTTGTTTGTCATCTATGATTTCTTTCAGCAGTGTTTTTCAGTTTTTCTTGTAGAGGTCTTTCACCTCCTTGTTTAGGTAAATTCTTGAATATTTTATTTTATTTTTGAGCTACTGTAAAAGGGGTTGAATTCTTGATTTCATTCTCCACTTGGTCACTCACTGTTGGTATATAGAAGAGCTACTGATTTGTGTACATTAATCTTGTATCCGGAAACTTTGCTGAATTCTTCTATCAGTTCTAGGAGCCTTCTGGAGGAGTCTTTAGGGTTTTCAAGGTAAACAATCATATCATCAGCAAACAGTGACAGTTTGACTTCCTCTTTACCTATTTGGGTGCCCTTTATTTTTTTCTCTTGTCTGATTGCTCTGGCTAAGACTTACAGTACTATGTTGAAGAGGAGTAGTGAGAGTGGGCATCCTTCTCTTATTCCAGTTCTCAGAGGGAATGCTTTCAACTTTTCCCCATTCAGCATTATATTGGCTGGTGATTTGTCATAGATGGCTTTTATTACATTGAGGTATCTCCCTTGTATGCCAATTTTGCTGAGGGTTTTAATCATAAAGCGATGCTGTATTTTGTCAAACGCTTTTTCTTCATCTATTGAGATGATCATGTGATTTTGGTTTTAATTCTGTTTATGTGGCATATAACCTTTATTGACTTGTGTATATTAAACCATCTCTGCATCCCTGGTATGAAACCCACTTGATCATGATGGATTATCTTTTTGATATGTTGTTGGATTCAGTTAGCTAGTATTTTGTTAAGGATTTTAGTATCTATCTTCATCAAGGATATCAATCTGTAGTTTTCTTTTTTGGTTGTGTCCTTTCCTGGTTTTGGTATTAGGGTGATGCTGGCTTCACAGAATGAATTGGGGGATGGGGGTTCCCTCTTTATCTTGTGGAATAGTGTCAAAATGGTTGGTACCAATTCTTCTTTGAATGTCTTGTAGAATTCTTCTGTGAATCCATCTGGTCCTGGACTTTTTTGTGTGTTGGTAATTTTCAAATTGCCATTTCTATCTCACTGCTTGTTATTGGTCTGTTCAGTGTATCTAATTCTTCCCAGTTTAAGCTAGGAGGGTTGTATCTTTCCAGGAATTTATCGGTCTCTTCTAGATTTTATCGTTTATATGTGTAAAGGTGTTCATAATAACCTTGAATAATCTTTTGTATTTCTGTGGTGTCAGTTGTAATATCTCCTGTTTCATTTCTTAATGAGATTATTTGGATTTTCTCTCTTGTTTTCTTTATTTATATTGCTAATGAGCTATCAATTTTATCTCTCTTTTCAAAGAACCAGCTTTTTGTTTCATTTATCTTTTGTATTTCTTTTGTTGTTGTTGTTTGTTTCAATTACATTTAGTTCTGCTCTGATCTTTGTTATTTCCTTTCTTCTGCTGGGTTTGGTGTGGTTTGTTCTTGTTTCTGTAGTTCCTTGAGGTGTGACCTTCGAATGTCAGCTTGTGCTCTTTCAGTCTTTTTGATGTAGGTGTTCAGGGCTATAAACTTTCCTCTTAGCACCACCTTTGCTGTATCTCAGATGTTTTGACAGGTTGTGTCATTATTGTCCTTCAGTTAGAAGAATTTTTTAATTTCCATCTTCATTTCATTTTTGACCCAATGCTCATTCAGGAGCAGGTTATATTATGTCCGTGTATTTGCATGGTTTTGAAGGTTCCTTTTGGTGTTGATTTCCAGTTTTATTCCACTGTGGTCTGAGAGAGTGCTTGATATAATTTCAATTTTCTTAAATTTATTGAGACTTGTTTTATGGCCTATCATATGGTATATCTTGGAGAAAGTTCCATGTGCTGTTGAATAGAATGTGTATTGTGCAGTTGTTGGATAAAATGTTCTGTATGTATCTGTTAAGTCCATTTGTTCCAAGATATAGTTTAAATCCATCGTTTCTTTGTTCACTTTCTGTGTGATGACCGATCTACTGCTGTCAGTGGAGTATTGAAGTCCCCCACTATTATCATGTTGCTGTCTATCTCATTTCTTAAGTCTATTAGTAATTGTTTTATAAATTATGGAGCTCCAATGTTAGGTGCATATATGTTTAGGATTGTGATATTTTCCTGTTGGACAAGGCCTTTCGCCATTATACAATGTCCCTCTTTCTCTTTTTTAACTGCTGTTGCTTTAAAGTTTGTTTTGTCTGATATAAGAATAGCTACCTCTTCCTTGAATATTTCTCCCTTCACTTCTTGTTTCATTTTTTGGATTTCCTTGCATTGGGCTTTGCCTTTCTCTGGTGCCTCCCTGATTAACTTAATAATTAACCTCCTGAATTCTTTTTCAGGTAAATCAGAGATTTTTTTTCTTGGTTTGAATCAACTGCTGTTGAACTAGTGTGATTTTGGGGGGTGTTAAAGAGCCTTGTTTTGTCGTATTACCAGAGTTGGTTTTCTGGTTCCTTCTCATTTGGGTAGGCCCTGTTAGAGGGAAGGTCTAGGACTCAAGGCTGTTGTACAGATTCTTTTGTCCCATGGGGTGTTCCCTTGATGTAATACTCTCTCCCTTTTCCTAAGAATGTGGATTCCTGTGAGCAGAACTGCAGTGATTGTTGCCTCTCTTCTGGGTTTAGCCACCCAGCAAATCTACCAGGTGCCAGGCTGGTACCAGGGGTTGTCTGCACAGAGTCCTGTCATATGAACTGTCTATGGGTCTTTCAGCCATGGATACCAACACAGTATTTGGGGTGTCTTCCGGGTCCTGCAGGAGTAGTCCACTTCCTTCAGAGGATCTGTAGGTCCTCTCAGAATTGCTGTTTTTTTTTCTTGAAGTTGATCTGGAGCTAAAATTCACAATGCGAGCCTCTGCATGCTTCTCTCCCTGTCTGAGTTGGAGTTGCAATCTAGTCCTGCCTCCCATCCACCATGATGACCTGTCCCCACTTTGTGAAAATCAGTAGTGTTTCTATATGCCAACAGTGAACAATCTGAAAAAAAATAAAAATAATTCCACTTATCATAGCCACAAATAAAATTAAATATCTAGGAATTAACCAAAGAAGTGAAAGAACTTTATAATGAAAAATGTAAAACACTGATGAAAGAAATTGAAGAGGACACCAAAAAATGGAAAGTTATTCCAAGTTCATGGATTGGAAGAATTAATATTGTTAAAATATCCATACTACCCAAAGCAATCTACAGATTTAGTGCAATTTTTATCAAAATACCAACGACATTCTTCACATAAATTTAAAAAAACTATTCTAAAATTTATAGGGAGCCACTGAAGACCCAGAATAGCCAAAACTATCCTAAGGAAAAAGAATAAAACAGGAGGAATCACATTACTTGACTTCAAATTATACTACAGAGCTATAGTGACCAAAGCAGCACGGTACTGGCATAAAAACAGACACATATACCAATGGAACATAATAGAGAACCCAGAAACAAATATGCACACCTAAAGTGAACTCATTGTTGACAAAAGTGCCAAGAACAAACACGGCCGAAAGACAGTCTCTTCAATAAACGGTGCTGAGAAAACTGGATATCCATATGCAGAAAAATGAAACGAAATCCCTGTCTCTCACCATATACAAAAATCAAATCAAAATGGATTGAAGTCTTAAATCTAAGACCTCAGCCTATGAAACTAGCACAAGAAAACATCAGAGAAACTCTCCAGTACATTGGTCTGAGCAAAAATTTCTTAAGTAATACAAGCACAGGCAACCAAGACAAAAGTGGACAAATGGGTTCTCATCAAGCTATAAAGCTTCTGCACAGCAAATGAAACAATCAACAAAGTGAAGAGACACTTCACAGAATAGGGGAAAATATTTGCAAACTACTCTTCGGACAAGGGATTAATAACCAGGGTATATAAGGAGCTCAAACAACTTTATAGGAAATAAGTCTAATAATCTGATTTAGAATGGGCAAAAGATTTGAACAGACATTTCTCAAAAGAATACATACAAATGGCAAACAGGCATGTGAAAGGTACTTGACATCATTGATCATCAGAGAAATGCAAATCAAAACTACAATGAGATATCATCTCACCCCAGTTAAAATGGCTTTATCCAAAAAGGCAATAACAAATACTGGCAAAGATATAGAGAAAAGGGAACACTCATACATTGTTAGTGGGAATGTAAGTTAGTACAACCACTATGGAGAACAGTTTGGAGGTTCCTCAAAAAACTAAAAATAGAGCTACCATATGATCCAGCAATCCCACTGCTGGGTATATACTCAAAACAAAGGAAATCAGTACATTGAAGAGCTATCTACACTTTCATGTTCATTGCAGCACTGTTCACAATAGCCAAAATTTGGAATCAACCTAAGTGCCCATCAACAGATGAATGAATAAAGAAAATATGGTACATCTACACAATAGAGTGCTATTCAGCCATAAAAAGAAAATGAGATTCCATCATTTGCATTGGAACTGGAGGCCATTATGCTAAATGAAATTACCCATGCACAGAAAGACACACATCACATGTTCTCATTTATTTGTGAAACCTAAAAATCAATACAGTTGAACTCATGAAGATAGAGAGTAGAATAATGGTTACCAGAGGTTGTGAAGGATGATGGCAGGGAGGTGAGAATGCTTAGTGGTTTTTTTTTTTAAGTAAGACCTAGTATTTGATAGCAAAACAGGGTGACTATCATCGATAACAATTTAATTATACATTTTTGAATAACTAAGTATAATTGGTTTGTAAATACAATGGATAAATGCTTGAGGAGATGGGTACATCATTTTACATGATGTGATGATTACTCATCGCATGCCTGTTTCAAAACATCTCATATACCCCATAAATATACACACCTACTATGTACCCACAAAATTTTTTTCAGTGCGTGAATAGACTTGGGGCTTTAGGCAAGGCTACAGCAAGAAACCTCAAAACAATGTCTTGGGACATCATTTCTTTTTCTTCTCTCTTCAGATGGGCCTCCTCCTTTTAGTGGCAAGATGGCTGCCAACAATCCAGATCTCGTACTACCAGATTGGCAACCTTTGCAGAATAAAAGTCTTTTCCAACAGGTTCAGCAGTAAAGTCCAGAAAAGGTCATAAACTGGCCTATCTGAGGTCAATTGCCTACCCTGTCCCACAGTCAATGTGGCCAGAGGGATGGAGTACTCTGATTGGTCAAGCTTATGTCATATGTTCAGCCCCTTACTAAGGATTAAGAGCAGTCAAAGAAGAAGAACAAAGTAAGGGAATGACCTAAACTATATGAAATGCATTTCTCCCACTAAAAGGGGCTCAGTGCCTATGGAAGAGAAAAGGGATGCTGGACACGCAAAAGCAGAGGTCTACTTCATTGCTAAACTCTGTGTCTTCCTATAAGCAAAAATTATAACTTCTAAAGATAGTAGATTAAGACGGTGAAAGCTTCTACAAAGAGCTCAGTTTAAGAACCATGTAAATAATCAGGTCACTAGGGCTAAAGTAAGCAACAATTCTAAAATAAGTAGAATATGACTGGTATAAATTGCTTCACCAACTCAAAGTAGCATATATATCACACCTCTTATTTTTCCAATTAATTGCTGAAACATTCACATGCCTTACTAATAGGATATACTCTACATTATTTTCCAGTACAAGAGAAAATTATTTTAAATGGTAAGGTTTTAGGTCTAAAAGTGTCTCAATTTTAAGAAAGCTGATATCAAGCAGGTCATATTTTCTAGGCATTGTGCAATGACTATAGAAATTATGAAAATGTGTAACCAACCAGTAATATCTAGCCACAGGCAAATTTTATAAAAGATCCTTTTAATTAACTTCTGGATTAAATGGAAAATCCAAACTGAGATTACTTTTATAGGGTCAGTTACATGCTAAGGAGGAAGCATAGAGAGTAGAAGAATGGTTACCAGAGGCTGTAACCTTCTTAATTTAAGGTAAAAAATTCTACCTATTAGCTTAGTATTAGATGAAAACAGAAATTCTTGTCACATACAGGCACTATTCACTGCAGTGAAGTATATCTTTTCAGAAAGTTGCATAAAATCGAATAAAATACCATGTATTAAATTAAAAAAACTGGATATATTTGAACTCCTTCTTGAAGTTATTCCTCGCTCCTAAATTGTCAGGAGCCTTTATAGCTCTCAAGTCCAAGGGCAGGGAGGGGTCATTCTAGCATTCACACCAGCCAGGAGCCAACCTGGGACTCCTTGGTCCACTGCCATTGCTTTGTGAGAACACATAATGTCACTGTTGAAAACTGATCCTACACAACGTGGTCAAGTAATTTATTGTACAAATTGAGACACTTGTGATAATAGAAAGGAATGCTGTTAATAATTATGCCAGGACTGTTTCAGAAAACCAGGATGTATTGTTACCTTCTATGTAATTTGAGATCTTGTTCACCCTATGTGGTTTGCTGAGGCAGGTGGATTTCATTCTTCAGTGCTAAGTGCAGATAACAGTGTCCCATGCTTAGAATCTCAGTGCCAGACTCAAGGTGCACTTCTTCTTCCATTCAAATACTCAGCCCTACTCTGCCCTGTGCTCCAAGGTCAAGCTCCTAGAGGATCAAGATGAACTCAGGTTTCTGCCTCCCTCACCCTTGCTTCTCCAGGATGCCCTTCAGGAAGTCAGGCTACTCTCTGGAGATCCACCCCTTTGGAGGTCAGAAGTCTTACCTTCCAAAGACTCACCACCCAAACGCAAACAGCTCAAAGATACACTCCAAGGAAAGCTCCAAGGTGCACACCTTTCCTTCCAGACACTTTCCACACTCCTTTGAAGGTTCTGCATCTGGAGAAGAGAAACAGTTCACTAAAAGCCAGTGTTAGAGACACCATTCGTTTCTACGGTCAAACCTGAGTTTTCTGAGCTGTTATCAACTGGCCTGTTTAGGCAACATCTCTACACTTCTACATTTCTTTTTTTTTTTTTTTTTTTAGATGGAATCTCGCCCTGTTGCCCAGGCTGGAGTGCAATGACATTATCTCAGCTCACTGCAACTTCCACCGCCCAGGTTCAAATTATTCTCCTGCCTCAGCCTCCCAAGTAGCTGGGGTTACAGGCGCCCACCACCACGCCCGGCTAATTTTTGTATTTCTAGTAGAGACGGGGTTTCACCACATTGGCCAGGCTGGTCTCCAACTCCTGACCTCGTGATCTGCCCACCTCAGCCTCCCAAAGTGCTGGAATTACAGGCGTGAGCCACCGCACCCGGCCTACTTCTACATTTCAAAATAATTATTTATCAGAATGATAAGTTCATATTGCTCATGATTTGAGGAAAAAAGGGAAAGGAAGAAAAAGAATATTTGTTAAATCCTTAGTACTGTGTAGTGTTGGGAATACATGGATGAAGAAGACATAATATCTGGTTTTGAGAAGGTGGGAAGGAGAGACAGATATATCACGTGTATATATGATAAGTCCTATAACAGAAACATAGAAGGAGTAATTCTCCATGTCTACGTCCAATAAGAGGTGACATTAAATCTGTGAATTATGCTAGACTTGGAAGAAAAATGACATGCCACATATTAGATAAGCTGACCATGTGTTAGCAAAGCCATTCTTTACTGAAGGACTAAAAACATTTTCCATCCTAGATGAATATCTCAAATGGAAGTACCAAATACAAGTATCCCCAAAAATGAGCAACTTAGTATATCAAGTTGTCTGGAGTTGGTAAATTCTTTATAACACTAGGCCTCAGAGAAAACCAAACCCTCTTCTACTGGCAATTATTAGAGTAGTGCACAAATACCCACATTCTGATAATACCAGTAACTCTAAGATATTTACTCAAGACCCCATCACCCTAAATGAGAATACCCAACACTATGTCACTGCCTTGAGGGTTTCCAATAAAGTTCTGCTTTTTGTGTATAACTTTTTATAAAACTTTTATTTTAGGTTCAGGGGTACATGTGCTTGTTTGCTATATAGGTAAATTGCATGTCACAGGGCTTTGTTATACAGATTATTTCATCACCTAGGTAATAATCTCACTATCCAATAGGTGGTTTTCAGTTCCTCTCCCTCCTCCACCTTCCACCCTCAAGTACACTTGTGTTCATGTGTTGTTGATGTTTGCTCCCATTTATAAGCAAGAACATGCAGTACTTGGTTTTCTGTTCCTGAGTTAGTTTGCTTATGATAATGGCCTCAAACTCCATTCATGTTGCTGCAAAGGACATAATCTTGTTCTTTTTTTATGGTTGCATAGTATATATATACCACATTTTATTTATCCTGTCTACCATTGATGGGCATTTAGGTTGATTCCATGTCTTTGCTATTGTGAGTAGTGCTCTGATGAGTATATGCATGTATGTGTCTTTATAGTCGAATGGCTTATATTCCTTTGGGTATACACCCAATCATGGGACTGCTGGGTTGAATGGTTAATTCTGTTTTAAGTTCTTTGAGAAATTGCCACACTGCTTTCCACTATGGCTGAGCTAATTTACAGTCTGTATTATTCTGTTTTCACACTGCTGATAAAGACATACCCGAGGCTGGGCAATTTACAAAAGAAGGAGGCTTATTGGACTTACAGTTCTGCATGGCTAGGGAGGCCTCACAATCATAATGGAAGGTGAAAGTCATGTCTCACATGGTGGCAGACAAGAGAAGACAGCTTGTGTAGGAAAACTCCCATTTTTAAAACCATCTGCTCTCCTGAGACTTATTGACTATCACAAGAACAGCACAAGAAAGACCTGCCCCCATGATTCAACTATCTCCCACCAGGTCCCTCCCACAATACGTGGGAATTCAAGATGAGATTTGGGTGGGGACACAGTCAAACCATATCATTCTGCCTCTGGCCCGTCCCAAATCTTATTTCCTCACATTTTAAAACCAATCATGCCTTTCCTACAGTCCCCCAAAGTCTTAACTCATTTCTGCATTAACTCAAAAGTCCACAGTCCAAAGTCTCATTGGAGACAAGGAAAGTCCCTTCTGCCTATGAGACTGTAAAATCAAAAGCAATTTAGTTACTTCCTAGAGACAATGGGGATACAGGTATTGGGTAAATATGGCCATTCCAAATGGGAGAAATTAACCAAAACAAAGGGGCTACAGGCCCCATACAAGTCCAAAATCCAGTGGGGTAGTCAAATTTTAAAGCTCCAAAATGATCTCCTTTGATTCCATGTCTCATATCCAGGTCATGCTGATGCAAGAGGTGGTTTCCCATAGTCTTGGGCAGCTCTGCCCCTGTGGCTTTGCAGGATATAGCCCCCCTCCTGGGTGCTTTCATGGCCTGGCATTGAGTGTCTGTGGCTTTTCCAGGCACCTTGTGCAAGCTGTCAGTGGATCTACCATTCTGGGATCTGGAGGATGGTTGCCCACTTCTCACAGCTCCACTAGGCAGTGCCCCAGTAGGGACTCTGTGTGGGGGCTCTGACCTCACATTTCCCTTTCATACTGCACTAGCAGAGGTTCTCCATGAGGACCCCGCCCCTGTAGCAAACTTCTGCCTGGGCATCCAGGCATTTCCATACAACCTCTGAAATCTAGGCAGAGGTTCTCAAACCTCAATTCTTGACTTCTGTGCACCTGTAGACTCAACACCATGTGGAAGCTGCCAAGGCTTGGGGCTTCCACCCTCTGAAGCAACAGACTGAGCTGCACCTTGGCCCCTTTTAGTCACAGCTAGAGTGGCTGGAACACAAGGCACCAAGTCCCCAGACTGCACATAGCAAAGAGACCCTGGGCCCAGCCCACAAAGCAATTTCTTCCTTCTAGGCCTCCAGGCCTGTGATTGGAGGGGCTGCCATGAAGACCTCTGACATGCTTAGAGACATTTTCCCCATTGTCTTGGGAATTAAGTAATTCCTCATTACTTATGCAAATTTCTGCAGCTGCCTTGAATTTCTCCTCAGAAAATGGGATTTTCTTTTCTATCACAATGTCAGGCTGCATATTTTCCAAACTTTTATGCTGTTTCCCTTTTAAAACAATGTTTTTAACAGCACCCAAGTCATATCTTTAATGCTTTGCTGCCTAGAAATTTCTTCCACCAGATACCCTAAATCATCTCTCTCAACTTCAAAGTTCCACAAATCTCTAGGGCAGGGGCAAAATGCTGCCAGTCTCTTTGCTAAAACATAACAAGAGTTACTTTTGCTCCACTTCCCAACAAGTTCCTCATCTCCATCTGAGACCGCCTCAGCCTGGATTTCATTGTTCATATCATTATCAGCATTTTGGTCAATGCCATTTAACAAGTCTCTAGGGAATTCCAAACTTCCCCACATTTTCCTGTCTTCTTCTGTGCCCTCCAAACTGTTCCAACCTCTGCCTGTTACCAAGTTCCAAAGTTGCTTCTACATTTTTGAGTATCTTTTCAGCAGTGCCCCACTCTACTGGTACCAATTTACTGTATTAGTCTGTTTTCACACTGCTGATGAAGACATACCTGAGACTGGGCAATTTACAAAAGAAAGAGGTTTATTGGACTTACAGTTCCACGTGGCTGGGGAGGCCTCACAATTACAGCAGAAGGCCAAAGGCACATCTCGCATCGCAGCAGACAAGAGAAGAGAGCTTGCTCATGGAAACTGCCATTTTTAATACCATCTCCTGAGACTTATTCACTATCATGAGGACAGCATGGAAAAGACCTGCCACCATGATTCAATTACCTCCCACCGGGTCCCTCCCACAACCCGTGGGAATTCAAGATGAGATTTGGGTGGGGACACAGCCAAACCATATCACAGTCCCACCAACAATGTATACGCATTTTCTTTTCTCTGCAACTTTGTCAGCATTTGTTATTTTTTGAGTTTTTAATAATAGCCATTCTGAGTGGTGTGAGATGTTATCTCCTTGTGGTTTTGATTTACATTTCTCTGATGATTAGTGATGTTGAGCATTTTTTCATATGCTTCTTGACCATATGTATGTCTTCTTTTGAAAAGTGTCTGTTCATGTTCTTTGTTCACGTTTTAATGGGGTTGTTTTTTTCTTGTAAATTTGTTTAAGTTCCTTATAGATTCTGGATATTCGACATTTATTGGATATATAGCTTGCATATATTTTCTCCCATTCTGTAGGCTGTTTACTCTGTTGATAATTTCTTTTGCTGTGCAGAAGCTCTTCAGTTTAATCAGATTCCATCTGACAATTTTTGGGTTTTGTTGCAATTGTTTTTGGCAGCTTCATCATGAAATCTTTGTGAGGACGTATGTCTACAATGACTTTTTTAGGTTGCCTTCTGGGTTTTTATAGTTGTAGGTTTTACATACAAGTCTCTAACCTAGCTTGCATTGATTTTTGTATATGGTGTAAGGAAGGAGTTCAGTTTTAATCTTCTTCACAGGGCTAACCAGTTATTCCAGTTCCATTTGTTGAATAGGGTGTCCTTTCCCCATTGCCTGTTTTGTCAACTTTGTCAAAGATCAGACTATTGTAGGTGTGTGGTTTTATTTCTGGGGTGTCTACTCTGTTCCATCAGTCTATGTGTTTTTATTTTCTTTTTTTCCTTTTTTTTTTTTGTACCATGCTGTTTTGGTTACTGTAACCTTGTAGTATAGTTTGAAGTCAGGTAATGTGATGTCTCCAGCTTTGTTCTTTGTGCTTAGTATTGCCTTGGCTATTGGGGCTCTTTTTTGGTTCCATATGAATTTTGAATAGTTTTTTATAATTATGTGAAGAATGCCATTGACAGTTTATAGGAATAGCATTGAATCTATAAATTGCTTTGGTCAGTATGGCCATTTTAACAATATTGATTCTTCCTACCCATAAGCATTGAATATGTCATCTCTGATTTCTTTGAGCAGGGTTTTGTAATTCTCATTGTAGAAATTTTTCACCTCCTTGGTTAGCTGTATTCCCAGTGATTTTATTCCTTTCCTGGCACTTGTGAATGTGATTCATTCCTGATTTGGCTCTCGGCTTGGCTATTGTGCATTGCCCAGTGATTTTTGTGCATTGATTTTGTATCCTGAAACTTTGCTGAAGTTGTTTATCAGCTGAAGGAGCTTCTGGGCTGAGACTATGGGGTTTTCCAGATATAGAATTATTTTGTCTACAAAAGGAGATAGTTTGACTTCCTCTCTTCCTATTTCTATGTCTTTAGTTTCTTTCTCTTGCCTGATTGCTCTGGCTAGGATATCCAGTACAATGTTGAATATGAGTGGTGAAAGTGGGCATCCTTGTCTTGTTCCAATTCTCAAATGTTTCAAGTTTTTGCCCATTCAGTATGATGTTTGCTGTGGGTTTGTTACATATGGCTCTTATTATTTTGAGGTATGTTCCTTCATTGCCTAGTGTATCAAGGGTTTTTAACATGAAAAGATTTTGCATTTTATCAAAGGCCTTTTCTGCATCTATTGAAATGATCATGTGGTTTTGGTTTTAGTTCTGTTTATGTGATGAATCACATTTATTGCCTCACGTATGTTGAACAAACCTTGCATCCCAGAGATTAATCCTACTTGATTGTGGTTGATTATTTTTTTGATGTCTTGCTGGATTTTGTTTGCTGATATTTTGTTGAGGAATTTTGCATCTATGTTTATCGAGAATATTCTCCTGAGGCTTTCCTTTTGTTCTTTCTGTGCCAGGTTTTGGTATCAGGAAGATGCTGGCCTCATAGAATGAGTTAGGGAGGAGTCCCTTCTCAATTTTTTGAAATAGTTTCAATAGGAATGGTACCAGCTTTCTTTTATACATGTGATAGAATTTAGTTGTGACTTCATCTGATCCTGGGCTTTTTATGATTGGTAGGCTTTTGATTACTGATTCAATTTCAGAACTCATTATTGGTTTGTTCAGGGATTCCATTTCTTCCTGGTTCAAACTTGGGAGGCGTAGGTTTCCAAGAATTTATCCATTTATTCTAGGTTTTCTAGTTTTTGTGCTTAAAGGTATTAGTAGCAGTCTCTGAGCGTTGTTTGTATTTCTGTGGGTTGGTGGTAATGTCCTCTTTATTTCTGATTGTGTTTATTTGGATCTTCTCTTTTTTTCTTTATTTGTCTAGCTAGTGATCTACTAATCTTATTCTTTCAAAAAACCAACTCCTGATGTGTTGACCTTTTGTATGGTTTTTCACATCTCATTTTCCTTCAGTTTGCCTCTGATTTTGGTTATTTCTTGTCTTCTGCTAGCTCTGGGGTTGGTTTGCTCTTGTTTCTCTAGTTACTCTAGGTGTTATGTTAGTTGCTAATTTAAGATCTTTCTATTTGATGTGGGCATTTAATGCTATAAATTTTTCTCTAAACACTGCTATAGCTGTGTCCTAGAGATTCTGGTATGTTGTATCTTTGTTCTCATTAGTTTCAAAGTATTTCTTGATGTCTACCTTAGTTTCATTGTTTACACAAAAGTTACTTAGGAGCAGGTTGTTTAATTTCCATGTAACAGTGTGCTTTTGAGGAGTTTTCTTGGTATTGATTTCTATTTTTATTGTACTGTGATCCAAGAGTGTGTTTGGTATAATTTGGGTTTTTTAAATTTGCTAAGGATTGTTTTATGGCCAATTGTGTGGTCTATTTTGGTGTATGTGCCCATGCAAAGGAGAAAAACGTATATTCTGTTGTTTTTGGATAGAGAGTTCTGTTAAGTGTATGTTAGGCCCATTTTGTCAAGTGTTGAGTTCAGGTCCCAAATATCTTTGTTAGTTTTCTGCCTCAATTATCTAATACTGTCAGTGGGGTGTTGAAGTCTCCTACTATTACTGTTTGGTTATCTAAGTCTCTTTGTAGGTCTTTAAGAAATTGCTTTATAAATCTGGGTGTCCCTGTGTTGCATGCATATATATTTAGAAGAGTCAGATCTTCTTGTTGAATTAAACTCTTTACCATTATATAATGTCCTTCTGTGTCTCTTTTGATTACCATTGGTTTAAGGTCTGTTTTGTCTGAAATTAGAACAGCAACCCCTGCTTTTTCCTGTTTTCCATTTACTTGGTAGATTTTTCTCCATCCCTTTACTTTAAGTCTATGGGTGTCATTACATGTCAGGTGATTCTCTTGAAGACAGCATAGAGTTGGGTCTTGCTTTCTTTATTCAGCTTGACATTCTTTGCCTTTTAATTGGGGCATTTAGCCAATTTACATTCAAGATTAATATTGATCAGTTGCGGTTTGATTTTAGCTTGTTATTATTAGACTTGATTGCCTAGGCTGCTTTATAGTGTTAACAGTCTGTGTACTTCAGTGTGTTTTTGTGGCGGACAATATTAGTCTTTCCTTTCCATATTTAGCACTCCCTTAAGGACCTCTTGTAAGACAGTCTACGGGTAAGAATTCCCTTAGCATTTGCTTGTCTGAAAAAGATCTTGGTCAGGCATGGGGCCTCACGCCTGTAATCCCCAGCACTTTGGGAGACCAAGGTGGGTGGATCACCTGAGGTCAGGAGTTTGCGACTAGCCTGGCCAACATGGTGAAACCCTGTGTCTACCAATAATACAAAAATTAGCCAGGCATGGTGGTACATGCCTGGTAATCCCAGCTACTCGGGAGGCTGAGGCAGGATAATCGCTTGAACCTGGGAGGTGGAAGTTGCAGTGAGCTGAGATTGTACCACCGCACTCCAGCCTGGGTGACAGAGCAAGACCCCATCTTAAAAAAAAAAAAAAGATCTTATTTTTTCCTTCATGTTAGTCTGGTGCAGTTCCCTTTTTAGTGATCTGCTCCTTCTTTCTAGATGCCTTTAATATTTTGTCTTTCATTTCAGACTTGGAAATCTGATTATTGTGTGTCTTGGGGATAGTCATCTTGTACAGTATGTCACAGGGGTTCTCTGTATTTCTTGAATTTGAATGTTGGCCTCTCTAACAAGGTTAGGGAAATTTTCGTGGATGATGTCCGTAACTATGTTTTCCAAGTTGCTTGCTTTCTCTCCCTCTCTTTCAGGATAGCCAATGAGTCATAGGTTTGGTCTCTTTTCATAATCCCATGTATCTCAGAAGTTTTGTCAATTCTTTTTGTTTCTTCCTTACTTTTGTCTGATTGAGTTACTTCAGAGAAGTAGTTTTTGAACTCTGAGATTCTTTCCTCAGCTTGGTTGATTCTGCTGTTAATACTTGTAATTGTACTATGAAATTCTTGAAGTGAGTTTTTCAGCTCCATCAGATCAGTTTGGTTTCTTTCTTTCTTTCTTTTTCTTCTTTCTTTTTTTTTTTTTTTTTTTTGACAGAGTCTCACTCTGTTGCCCAGGCAATAGCACAATCTCGGCTCATTACAACCTCCGCCTCCCAGGTTCAAATGATTCCTCTGCCTCAGCCTCCTGAGTAACTGGGATTACAGTGCCTGCCACCTTGCCCATTTTTAATACAGACAGGGTTTCACCATGTTGACCAGGCTGGTCTCAAACTCCTATCTTAAAGTGACCTGCCCACCTTGGCCTCCCAAAGTGCTGGGATTACAGGCATGAGCCACCGCATCCAGCCTGGTTCTTTCTTAAAATTGCCATTTTGCCTTTTATCTCCTCTATCATTTTATTGTATTCCTTAGATTCCTCGGATTGGGTTTCAACTTTCTCCTGAATATTGATGATCTTTGTTCCTATCCATATTCTGAATTCTATGTCTGTCATTTCAGCCATTTCAGCCTGGTGAAGAACCATTGTTGGGGAACTAGTGCAGTTGTTTGGAGGTAAGAAGACACTCTGGCTTTTTGAGCTGCCAGAGTTCTTGTGCTGGTTCTTATTTGTGTGGGTTAGTGTTCCTTTAATTGTGGTGTAATTTGAGTATAGTCTGTTGTCTTCATTTCTGGATGTTTTCAGCAGGCTGAGGCTTCGTGCAGGGTCTTTTGTAGCTGAATTCTTGTCCTTGGTTTCACGGGGTGTATATTAGCAAAGTATTTTTGGTGTTGAAGTTTGGGTTCTGATCCAGTAGATGGCACTTAAGTGTAATAGCCAGTAGATACGCTCTTGCTTAGCCACGTGGCTCCTCTGTATTTCCTTGTGTTTGCAGCCATGCTCCATCTCTGTGCTTTGAGAGTGTGGACTCCTCTCCCACTCAAGTGTTGACTGAAGATCTCAGTTTGGCACTCCTGGGTTGCATATCCACAGCCTTGGGGCAAGCTCAGCCTTTATGTTGCCTGCCTGGCTTGGGGACAGCAGGGCCAGGGACTTCAGCAGTGGCAATGGCAAAAGGTCTTTCACTTGTTTCTTACAGCTCTACCCTCAGAGAAATGCAGGGCCCTTACCAATCTGGGAGACTGGCCTGGAGTGGGGCAGCTGTGTGGGCTTAACCTGGGGGCCCTGTCTGGCAACAAATAGTGGGGGCAGGGAACTCATGCGGAAGACAGACTTGCCTCTTCTCCTTATGGAGGCTGCAGCATGCTAGAGGTGTAAGGCACTCAGGGTCTTTGTTCCTTCCCAGTCTGAAGTCAGCAAGGGCAGTACCCCTACAATGGCAGTAGCAGTGGCAGAGGTGCTTTCAGTTGCCTCTGGGAGCCCCACTCCAGAGAAACACAGCCACTGCCAACGGGAACGGGAACGTTAAGCCAAGGGTTGGGACAACTGTACTGTGGGCCTGAGCCAGGAGCCCTGCTTGGTAAAGAGCAGGGTGTCAGGGCTTACAGGGAAGACAGAATGAGCTCCTTTCCTTAGGGTAACTGTGGCGTGCTGGAGCACAAATAAAGCCCTCAGACTCTTTGTTCCTTCCCCAGTCCAAGAGGAACAAGGGCAAAACTGCTGCAGTGGCAATGGCAGAGAGATTGTCAGTTGCCACTCAGAGCTCGGTCCTAGGGAAACACAGAGCTACTACCAGTGGGAATGCGCAGTCAGGGGTGGGGCAGCTGCTCTGTGGCCCTCAGCCGAGGACCCTGCCTGGTGAAGACTAGGGGGTGGGGGCTCACAGGAAAAAGAGTCTGAGTTCCTCTCCATAGGGTGGCTATGACATGCTGGAGGTGCCAGCAATGTGACCAGGCCCTTTGTTCCTTCCCCTGCCCAAGGGTAGTAAGGGTGGTACCACTGCAGCCACAATGCAAGAGAGCCTGAGGGTTGTCTCTGGGATTTCCTTTCCAGGGAAATGCAGAGCCACCATCGATTGATGTGTTCAGGCAGAGGCAAGGTTGTTGTGCTGGGTTGCCCCGTTTGAGAGGCTGTATTAGTCCATTCTTGTACTGCCATAAAGAAATACCTGATAGTAGGTAATTTATAAAGAAAAGAGGTTTAATTGGGTCACGGTTCGGCCGGCTAGGAAGCATGGCGGCATCTGCTTCTGGGGAGGCCTCAGGGAGCTTTGACTCATGGTGGAAGGCAAAGCAGGAGCAGGCATCTTAATGGCAGGAGCAGGACCAAGGTGGGTCGAGGGGCATTGCCACACACTTTTTAAAAACCTGATCTAGTGAGAACTCACTATCATGACAGAGTACCAAGGGGGAAATCCACCCCCATGATCCAATCACCTCCCACCAGGCCCCACCTCCCCATGATCCAATCACCTCCCACCAGGCCCCACCTCCAATACTGGGGATTATAATTTAACATAAGATTTGGGCAGGGACACAGATCTTAATTATGTCAAAGGCCCTGCCCAGTGAGGAGTAACAGGACCTGCCTGGAACACAGTCTTGTTGCTTTTCCGTAAGGCAGCGGTGCTGTGCTGGAGGTCCTCCTTAGTCCTTAGTCCTTAGTCTTTTTGCTCCCTCCCAAGCCTGAGGGCAGCAGGAGCAGGAGCTATAGAGAACAAAAATAACAGGTCTGCCCACTATTGCTGGGAGTTCTGTCCGAGGGCAGTGCAGGGCTGCCAATGCCACATGAAACTGGACTTCATTCTTGGCAGAATGTGGTAGGCTCCCATTTACCAGCACCCTGCCACACGACAGATCAAGAAATCCACACCCTCTAAACTCATGAATCTGAAAATTGGCATCATAAAAAACTACTTTCACACATTGTGGGTTTAGAACCTGCCTGAGCACCCAAGCGGGGATGGGGTGAGTGGGGACCCAGGTTATGAGGCCTTGCCCAATAAGGAGTAGTAGGGACAGCGAACCATGAGGAAAACAGAGTGGCCACTTTTCTTTAAGGCAGCTGTGCTCGGTGGAGGGCTGCATTAGTCCTTTATCTTTTCACATTCTCCCAAGCCTCAGGGCAGCAAGGGCAGGAGCTCCAGAGCAGCCAAAAAGGGCAGGCCTGTCTGCCACCACTGGGAGCTCCATCGCAGGGCAGAGCTGCTACCAGCACCCCAGGAGGGGTGAGATGGCTGGGGTCCCAGGTTGGGAGGCCCTGCCCACTGAGGGTAAGTGGGGGCAGTGACCCACATGGAAAACAGTCTGGCCACTTTTTCATAAGACAGCTGCACTGTGTCTTATGAAAAACATTCTGGCCACTTTTTCATAAGACAGCTGCACTGTGTTGGGGGCTATGTTAGTCTTTAATTGATTTGCTCCCTCCTGAGTCTGAGGGCAGCGGGAGCTGGGAGCTGCAAAGCCAGAAAACTAAGGGGCCTGCCTGCCACTACTGGAAACTCCATCCCAGGGAAGTGCAGAGGCCAGAGAGTTCAGGCGGTACCGGCGGCTGCACTAGGGTCCTAGGCCAGTGGGCCTAGGCTGGTGGGGTGCAGTGGAGGTAAGGCCTGCGGTCCGTCCACTCCTCAGCCCTGTCGATTCAGCCTCTATCCCAGGGAGGTGTGAAGGAGTCTTGCTGCCCCCACCGCCAGAGCTGCAATAGCTGGTGCCAGGGTGCCCAGGGGTCTAAGATCCTCAGGAAGCCACGTGTGCCTGAGTGGTGGCTCTGCCCAGGCTCCAAGCAGCTCATGTCAGTCTAGAGGCCCATTTCCCGGCAGTGGGGAGCCTCTCCCGGCTCCCTGCCGATCCTGGGTGGGTAGCTGTCCTGTCTCTCTCTTCTCCGTTCTCCATGAGTTGTGTTGCTTCCCCGATGAATCCCAACTTGTCCACCTGCATGATCCAGTTGAAGAGCTAATGTTTATTCGCCTTATTCGCCACTCTTTCTCCTCTCTGTGAGAGCGGCGCACACCAGCCGCTTCTAGTCAGCCATCTTGGCAAAAAAAAAAAAAAAAAAAAAAAAAATCTAGTGTCTTTCTTTCTACACTGAATGGCAGTGGAACTCTGAGATTCAGTGGAACCTGGAAGTTTGTTCCCACTGGGTGGCCAATGCTACATCAAACTGGACTTCATTCTTGTCAAAATGTGGTAGGCTCCCATTTACCAGCACCCTGCCACATGATAATGCAACAAATCCACACCCTCTAAACCCATGAATCTGAAAGTTGGCATCATAAAAAAGTGCTTTCACACATTGTGGTTTTAGAATCAATTTATTTTAAGAAAACTTTTTTTAAAATTTTTCTTTCATGAATATTTCATTATTCATCACTCTATTTTCTCTGCTGTAGCTAAGCAGAATAATGCTGAGAAAACAGTTCAAAAGTTATTGTAGAAGAATCAAATCTCCACTGCCAGCTTAAAATCCATAACATTTTCCCTTTTGTTGTTTAAAGTAAAGGTAAATGTTGACTGCATTCTTTGGAATCATACCCAGAATATAGCTGCTGAAGGTGAGAATACAAAGTACAAATTTCTGCTCAGAAGGTAGAGAAAGCCAGCAAAAAAAAAAAAAAAAAAAAAAAAACTGGTCCCAGAAGGCGGAGCAAGCCAGCAGAATAGTTTTGCCATGTAACAGTATTACCGTAGAAGGAGATTCAGTGGTATTTTAAATGGTTTTATTTTAAAAGATAAGAAAGGAAAAGAGAGAAAGATTCCTCGCCAGTGTAAACTTTTGACAATGAACAGCTGCCACTTTATGTGCTTTTATTTTACTGCAGCTATTAACTTTGCTTCCTTAAAATGATTTAAAATTTTTGATTTTATAATACTCAGAAACAGAGGTCTTAAAGGCAACACCCAATGGTTAAAATCATTGCTTTAAAAAAACCTTTCTAGCTGGGCACAGTGACAAGCGCATGTAGGTTCAGCTACTCAGGAGACCGGGGTTGGGAGGATCACTTGAGCCCAGGAGTTCAAGGCTAGCCAGGGAAACATGGCAGGACCCTGTCTCTGAAAATATAGAAAACAAAATACATTTCTGATAAGGAGCAAAACTAATAGCTGCTTTTCTGTGTTTACAGTGCAGACCTGGGAAGGTAACATTTTTATGTAGCATGAGGTTACAGCCTGACTAGAAACTATTGTAGGGGAGATAAACGGCTGTTGGCTGGCTGGCTTGCTTCTCCTGATGAATATTTACAGAAGAGACTGGCTATAGATGCCAGCAGCTGGCCTTCCCAACAGTGTCTTAATCATTACAGACAACGGAGCAGCCTGCATTGGCCTTTGAAGCAGTGTATTCCCTTATGATTTGACCACAGTAGCCTGTTTCCCTCATGAACAGTAGAGGCCACTATTCCATGACACTTGCAAGATCTCTTCAGAAGCTAGTCATTCATGTAAGTAAATTATATTCCTGCTAGATGCGGAACAGATGGACCAAGGTCCAAGATAACAGCAAACTTGTCCCATTTTTCACAGGTACATAGGCTGTAGCCAGATTTGAGCTTCAAGAGAATAGATGTGGAAAACAGATAGATGTGGATGATAAAGTATTTGAGTATCAATCCCAAGGGCTGAGACACTACCTACCATTTTAATCCACCTTAAATCTTCAGAATATGCATCCTCAGTGAATTTCTTTATGAGGTCTCTGTCCTTACACCTATGCGCACACTGAAGCAGGACTTCACACTTTGACAAGTGCCAGAGATAGATCTCACTCCACAATGCCACATATATTAGGTTACAATAATCTTATGTCTTTATAATTCTATATCTTATATATTACAATTATATACAAATATATATAACACCTATTATATAATAGATATTTTATGTATTATATATTATCTATATATAATAGATATTATATATTATCTATATATAATAGATATTATATATTATTATGATATATAATTGTTTATATATTATTTAATATATTATATATACTATAATTTATAATATATAATTATATATTATATCTAACATATAATATAGATATATAGTAGGTATATGATATATATCAGATATAATATATTAACACATATGTTATATGATCTATGTTTATAATTATATAAATATCTATAATATATAAATATATATAAATATATAATATATAAATATATTGAGTTATATTATATAACAGACATATATAATAGATATTATATTTCATATATATATGTGTGTGTATATATATATTTATATATGATTCATGGAGACAAAGGCAAAGGATGCCTGTCAGTCATCATACTGCAGAAACTGAATCATCCCCTTGGACATGTTTTATTTTTTCTATTCATAGTCCTCTCTCTTCCCATCTCTTTAATCAATCTACCTTTCCCCTCCTCATCGTAGCCTAAAATAAATTGCTGCCTAGAACCATTCAGCTCTCTCTCTTAACTTTTATTTTCTACCCAGTAAAACTAAAGTTTGGGAGCTATCCGTACAGTAAGCTGAGTTCATTCTTCCATATACATGCAAGTGTGTCAGCAGACCCAGAAAGAGCATGTCATGTGCTTGCCATGACACTCACCTTTCCCCCTTATACAAACATGATAATGTTCCATTTATGGGCACTTACGATGTGCTAGGCACTTCACTTTAGTGCTTCATGTGCATCATTGTTTTACACAATCTTCTAAGGTAGATATCATTATGCGCAGTTTCAGTTCACAAATAAGCCAGATTCACTGAGTAAACAGCACAACCTAGGTTCTGAGTTGAAAAAAAACAGGATATATGCCTGTATCTGGCCCCAAAGCTTGGCCTGTCTGTAAAATCTCTATTGCTTCTGACAACAGGCATTGAGCAGATGGCTGGCCAGGGAGATGTTGGGGCACAGCCCAAGGTAGGGGAAAGTTCACCTACCTGTGAAGGGAGAAACCCCAACCTTGACTACATTTATAGAAGAACTAGGCACCAGAGGGACTCTCAAATCACAGACTCATAGAATTGGCAAGAAATTTAGAGATTATTTCTCAGGTACCATGAGGTACTTTCCCAAGATCACACAATTAACTAGTGACAGAGCTAGAATAAGATCCCAGTCTTGTGAGTCCTTTTTTTTCTTTTTACTGTTTTTTTTTTTGTTTTTTTTTTGAGATGGAGTTTCGCTCTTGTTGCCCAGGCTGGAGTGCAATGGCATGATCTCGGCTCACTGCAACCTCCGCTTCCCAGATTCAAGTGATTCTCCTGCCTCAGCCTCCCAAGTAGCTGGAATTACAGGTGGCTGCCACCACACTCAGCTAATTTTTGTATTTTTAGTAGAGACGTAGAGACGGGGTTTCACCATGTTGGTCAGGCTGGTCTCGAACTCCTGACCTCAGGTGATCCACCCACCTCGGTCTCCCAAAGTGCTGAGATTGTCAACTACACTTATGTCTTCTGAGGTCATGAGAGGATACATGTTGCTCATCTAACTCTTCTAAGTCTTACGTATTCTAAGTGTTGCTTCTGGGGAAATAAAGCTTCATATTCCTCTCCATGCTTCTGTAAAAAGTAAGGGGGGCAGGGTAGAGAAGAAAGGGTAACACTTGAAATACATGAAGCTTTTTTTAGCAAAGCACATTAATAAATCTTAAGCTGTGCAAAGTGTGAATGAGGGAGGAGGTGGTAAGTGCTAGAGCTAAAATGCTCTTCATAATAATATAAGGATTTTTTTTTATCACAACTGGGAGACAGAGAAGCAGTAGGAGAGAAAGCTGAACAATGTCATGAGACTCTGAAATCTAAGTTGGTGGAAATGGAGAAGGGACTTTCAGAGGACCAGAAAAGCTAATATTCAATGTTAGAATATTTTCTAAACAGCGCTGCAACATGAGTACATGATTACCTCAATATCCAGTAAAATCTGCCACACATAGTTGTAGATATTTGCTTGTGCAAGTTGCTTCTTGTTGACTGGTTGTTATGGTTTGAATGCATGTGTACTTTCAAACTTCAAATATTGAAACCTATCACCAAGGCAATGGAGTTACAAGGCAGGGCCTTTGGGAGGTGATTAATGTCCTTAAAAAAGAGGCTGCAGAGAACATTTGTCTTTTTTTTTTTTTTTTTTTTTTTTTTTTTGCCTTTCCACTCTTCCACCTTGTGAGGACACAGCAACAAGCTGCCCTCTTGGAAGCAGAAAGCAGCTCTCACCAGACATCAAATCTGCCAGCACATTGATCTTGGACTTCCCACCCTTCAGAACTGTGAGACATTTCTGTTGTTTATAACTCACCCTGTCTATGGTATTTTGTTATAGCAGGAGAAATGGACTAAACTACTCTTACAAGTGAATTTTGGAAGAAAGAAAGAGTCATGTCTGAACTTTAGGTCAATGCTGGATTGGAGATAAACAAATAGCCATTAGTTATAGAATGAAGTATTCCACAAATACTAGAAGAAAGTATTTGTAGAAATGTTCAGGGAAAAAAAAAAAACAACAGAACAGAACATAGAATGGGGGATGGAGCAAGGCAATCTTAGAATCAAAGAGTGGGTGGCTTCTTCTGACATCTAGATTATAGAAGATTCTTCAACAGTGTTGTCTTCTTTCCTCTTCATTCTCTCAAAGAAGTCAATAAAAGCTCCCTCTCACTTTCCCACCACACAAGAGGCAAACCATGTGGAAGGTTATAGAATTCCACCAGATTTTAATTGTGAGGTTGTAGGGTAGGTAGGTGTTAATTTTTCTCCTAAAATTAGAATGATTTTCCCTGGGTTGTTTTATTGGATTCCATGCTCTGCTGTAAGAATATTTTAATGCAAATGAACTAAAATTGTATAATTTTTTGCTGTCATCTTTCATCCAAAGCACATAAAATTCCTAAGTTTCACTCAAATTTCTAGCAGTACATTGTAAATTTCTTAAAGTACTGTGGATAGCTATAGAAAATGTTGTACTTAACTATGCTAAGAAAATATTTTTTAAACAAAATTTTCTGTTTATTCTATTTTTAGAAAATAATCAGTTAAATTGACTTTCTCACCTCTAGACACTTCTCAGAGAACCATGAAAACAAATTCAAGGCAGAATAGTGACCTTCTTTGAGTCCCTTTAATTCATTATCTGCATCTGCATCTCCATTCTGATGCAAGTAGATGGACGTTTTGCCTTGGTCATTCCTGTTAATTGAAAACACTCTGTTATCTTTTCTAAAATCAAGTTATGTTCTTGAGAGTGTATTTATTTTAAAAGATTCTGAAACTCAATTTCTCACTAATTCATATTAGCTTTTCTTTCATATCAGCTTTTTTTTTAAAATTAACTTGTACTCTATTCTCTGTGGAGTTAATATCTTGGTTGGAACCTTTCCACTCAAGAAATAAATGGTCCAGTGAAGGAAGTAATGTGCCATTATCATCCTTATGCTTTGAAAATCTGTAGAATTTTGGAACTAGAAAAAAACAACTGAGACAATTGAGTTCTAGAGAAGTTGGGTTACACAGATAACTAGTACTAGAAGGCAGAACACACAGAATCATAGAAACTTGGGTTTATAAGAGATTTTGAAGGGCAGTTAGTTCAATCTCTCAAATATATTTTTAAAGAGAGGCTTGCACATAGTGAACATTCAACAAATAGAAATTAAATGAATGTAGAAATGTACATACTGACCAGCCTAGTGATTACTCAGCTTCTGCTTAGAAGCCATAAAGAAAAACCCCAATAAAAGTATTTTCAAATTTGAAATATAACTGAATAAAACTCTTTCTGATGGAAGCGAAAAAAGAGCCAAGGGGGGTAAGGGATGGTGTGTGTGTGTGTGTGTGTGTGTGTGTGTGTGTGTGTGTGTGTTTAAATCAAGCATTTTTATTGTGGTAAAAAATACATACGAAATTTTTCATCTTAATAATTTTTAAGTGTACAGTTCAGCAGCATTAAGTACATTCACACTTTTGTGTAACCATCACTGCCATCCATCTCCAGAGGTCTTTTTATCTTGCAAAACTGATACTCTGTACCCATTAAACAATATCTCCCCATTTCTCTTTCTCCCAGTCCCTGAAAAACACCAATTTACTTTCTATGAATTTGACTACTTTAGGTACCTCATATAAATGGAATTACACAGTATTGGTCTTTTCATGACTGGTTTATTTCACTTTATATGTCTTCAAGTTTCATCCATGTTGCAGCATACAAGATTCCCTTTCTTTTTAAGACTGAATAATTCATCTGTTAATGGACACTTATGTTGCTTCCACATTTTAGCTATGGTGAATAATGCTGCTATGAACATCGGGGTACAGATATCTCTTCAAGATTTTCCTTTCAATTCTGGCTGTATATCCAGAAGGAGAATTGTTGAAACACATGATAATTCTATTTTGAATTTTTTAAGGAACCACCATACTGTTTTCCATACAGTAGCTGCCCCACTTTACATTTTGACCAATAGTGCACAAAAGTTCCAATATCTCCACACCTTCATCAACATACATTTTTTGTATTTTTGATAGTAGTCATCCTAATGTGTGTAAGGTGATATCTCACCATGTTTTTTATTTTCACTTTTCTAATAATTAGTGATGTTGAGCATCCTTTCATGTGCTTACTGACCATTTGTTTATATCGTCTTTGAAGCAATGTCTATTCAAGTCATTCACCTATTTTTAATTAAGTTGTTATTATTGAGTTATCTCTATATTCTGTATATTAATCCCTTATCAGACATATACTTTGCAAATATTTTCTCTCATTTTGTGGGTTGCCTTTTTACTCTGTCAATTAAGTCTTTTGAGGCCAAAAGTTTTTAATTTTTATGAAGATCAATTTGTTGTTGTTTTTGTTTTGTTGCTTAGGCCTTTGGTGCTATATCTAAAAAATTGCCAAATCTAGTGTTATAAAGACTTTGTCCTGTGTCATATTTTATGTTTAGGCTTTTGATCCATTTTGAGTTAATTTTTGCATACGATGTTATGTAAAGGTCAAAATTGATTCTTTTGCAATGTGGTCATACAGTTTACCCAGGACTGTATGGTGAAAATACTAACCTTTCCCCCAGTGAATTGTCTTGGCACACTTATCAAAACTCATTTGACTATATATGTGAGGATTTATTTTTGGGCTCTCTATTCTGTTCCATTGGCCAATGTGTCTGTCTTTATGCCAGCACCACTCTGGTTTGATGACTGTGGCTTTTTAGTAAGTTTTGAAATCAGGAAGTATAAGCCTCCCATCTTCTTTTTAAATATTATTTTAGCTATTTATCGTCTCTTAAGATTCCATGTAAATTTTAGGATAAACTTTTCTATTTCTGCCCAAAAAAAAGTCATTGGGATTTTGATAGGCATTGCACTGAATTTGTATACCACTTTGGGTAACATTGACATCTTAGCAATTTTAAGTCTCCCAATCCATGAATGTAAAATGTCTTTCTATTTATTTATTCTTTAATTTATTTCAGCAATGTTTCATAATTTTCTTTGTTTCTCTTTTACTTTCTAGGTTAATACTTAAGCATTTTATAATTTTTGAAGCTATTGTAAATGAAATTTTATTAATTTCCTCTTCAGATTGTTTATTGTTAGTGTGTAGAAATGCAAGTGATTTTTGTTTATTTTTGTTTCCTGCTACTTTGCTGAATTCATTTATTATTTTAACAATTTTATTAGGTGAAATCTTTAGAGTTTTCCATGTATAAAATCATGCCATCTGTAAACAGAGATACTTTTACTTTTTCCTTTCCAATTTAAATGCCTTTTTACTTCTTTTTCTTGCCTTATTGCTCTGGCTACAACTTCCAGTACTATGTTGAATAGAAATGGCAAACATGGGCATCCTTTCCTTGTTTCTGATCTAAGAGGAAAAGCTTTTAGTCTTTCACCATTGAGTATGATGTTTGCTGTGAGTTTTTTCATACATAGCTTTTATTATGTTGAGGTAGTTTTCTTATCTTCCTAGTTTGTTGAGTGTTTTTAAAATCACATAATGGTGTTAAATTTTGTTAAAGGCCCTTTCTGCATCAATTGAGATAACTGTAATTTTGCCTTTATTCTGTTAATGTGGTGTATTACATTGATCAATTTTCACATGTTGGACCATCCTTGCATTCCAGGAATAAATTCCACTTGGTCATGGTGTATAATCTCTTTAATATGCTGTTAAATTTAGTTTGCTAGTATTTTGTTAAAGATTTTGCATCAATGTTCATAAGGGATATTGTTTTGTAGTTTTCTTTTCTTGCAGTGTTTTTGTCTGGCTTTTGTATCAGGACAATGCTGGCCTCATAGAATTAGTTAGGATGTAATTCCTCCTGTATGATATTTTTCAAAAGTTTGAGAATTGGTATTCTTCTCTAAATGTTTGGTACATTTCTCCAGTGATGCCATCAGGCCCAGGGTTTTCTTTATTGGGATTTTTTATTGCTAAGCCAGTCTTCTTACTACTTATAGGTATATTCAGGTTTTCTAATTCTTCATGCTTCAGTCTTGGTAGGTTTTGTGTTTCTAGGAATTTATAAATTTCTTCCAGGTTATTCAATGTGTTAAAATTATTCATAGTACTCTCTTATAATCCTTTTAATTTTTGTAGCATCAATAATAATCCTTTAATTTCTGATTTTAGTAATTTGAGTCTTCTTTTTCTTAGTTTATCTAGCCAAAGCTTTGTCAGTTTGTTGATAAAGAATCAACTTTTGGTTATGCTAATTTTCTCTATTATTAAACAAAAAAATTTCTGCTCTAATCTTTATTATTTGTTTCTTCCTGCTAGCTTTGGGTTCAGTGTGTTCTTTTTTTACTTTCTTAAATTATTATACATTTAAGTAGTTTATTTGAGATTTTTCTCAAATATAAATATTTATATCTACAAATTTCCTCCTCAGCACTGTTTTTGCTGCATACAGTAAGTTTTAGTATGTTGTGTTTTCATTTTCATTTGTCTCAAGGTATTTTCTAATTTCCCTTGTAATTTCATCTTGGATACATTGGTTGTTTAAGTGTGTTTCTCCACAAATTCATGAATTTTCCAATTTTCTCTCTGTTATTGATTTCTTCCTTCATCCCACTATAGTTAGGGAAGAGGATCTCTTAATACATTTGTGCTGCTATAACAGAATACCACAGACTGGGTAATCTACAAAGAACAGTTTTGGAAGGTGGGAAGTCCAATATCAAGGTGCCAGAATCTTATGAATGTCTTTTTGCTACATTCTAACATGGTGGAATAGGGAAGCACAAAAGGTGGATGAACACGGTCCTCACACAGCATAGGAGCAGAAGAAAACCCACTCCTGCATGCCATTTTTCTAAGAGCATTAATCCATTCATGAGGAGAGAGTTCTCCCAAAAGCCCCACTTCTCAACACTGCCAAGTTCCTAGCACATAAATTTGGAGAACATATTCAGACCACAGCAGATACTTTATATTATATCTCTCTTTTTAAATCTATTGAGACTTAATTTCTGATCTATCATAGGTCTGTCCTGAAGAATGTTCCATATGAACCTGAGAAGAATGTTAATTCTGCTGTTGTTGAATAAAGTGTTCTGTATATGTCTGTTAGATCTAATCGGCTAATTGTGTTGTTCAAGTCTTCTGTTTTCTTATTCATCTTCTGTCTGGTTGTTCTATCCATTACTGACAGTGAGCTATTAAAGTCTTCAACAATTATTGTAAATCTACTTCTCCCTCCAATTCTGTTTTTGTTTCATATATTTTGATGGTCTGTTAGTAGGTGTAAAATTATTATATCTTTTTCCTGTATAGAAACTTCTATTAAAATATAATGACCTTCTTTGTTCCTTGTGATTGTTTTAATCTGAAGTCAATTTTGCCAGATATTAGTATAGCCACTCCCACTCTCTTGTGGTTACAAGTTGTATGGAATATCTTTTTCCATCATTTTACTGTTAACCTATTCATATCTCTGGATCTAAAGTGAATTGCTCGATGACAGCATATAGTTGGATCATGTGTGTGTGGGATTTTTTAAAATTTATTCTGCCAATCTCTGTCTTTTGATTGGAGAGTTTAATCTATTTATATTTAAAGCACTTACTGATAACGATAAACTGATTTTGGTCATTTTGCTATATTTTTCTATATACCTTTTATCTTTTTTCACCCTCATTTCCTGCATTACTGTCTTCTTTTGTGTTTAGTTGATTTTTATATTGAAACACTGTAATTTCCTTCTAATTTCCTTTTGTATATATTCTATAGCCATTTTTATGATTACTATGGGGATTACATTTAACATCCTCAAGTTATAATATTCTCATTTGAATTTATATCAGCCTAACTTTACTAACATACAAAACCTCTGGTCCTATACAGCTCCATCCTCACATCCTTTCAGTTATTGATCACAAATTACGTCTTTATACGTTGTGTGTCCAAAAGCATAAATAACTGTTTTATGCATCAATTTTATAAACTATTTAAAAAACAAAATGTAGAGTTACAAATCAAAGTTTCCATAATACTAGCTTTTAGAATAGTAATTTTAAAAATGTTAGTCTCTTAAATCATGTAGAAAACAAAAAGTAGAGTTACAAACCAAAGTTACAATAATACTAGCTTTTATAATTGCCCAGATATTTACCTTTGCTGAGATCTTTATTTCTCCATAGAGCTTCCAGTTACTGTCTTGAATATTCTCAAGTGCATATGGAACATTTCATTTCAACCTACAGGACTCCTTTTAGTTTTTCTTGTGGGACATGTCTAGTGGTAATGAATTATCTCAGCTTTTATCTGGAAACATCTTCATTTCTCTCTCACTTTTGAAAAACAGTTTTAAATGTTTCTGAAGGACTTTGGCTTCTCACAGTTTGATTATAATGTGTCTCAGTGTGGGCCTCTTTGAGTTCCTACTAGGAATTTTTTGAGCTTGATAAATGTTTACATTTATGTCTTTTATCAAATTTGGAAAGTTTTCAGCTATTCTTTCTCTGAATACTCTCTGCTTCTCTTTCTCTTCTTCTAGGACTTCCGCAACATGTATGCTGGTCTGATGGTGTCCCACAGATCCCTTAGGACCTTTTCACTTTTCTTCCAATAGTCTTATCTTCAAGTTCCTCAATTGTTTCTTAGGCTTGCTCAAATCTGTTTTTGAATCCCTTCAATAATTTTTTTATTTCATGCAATCTTTGACAAAGCTGACAAAAACAAGCAATGGGGAAAGGACTCCCTATTCAATAAATGGTGCTGGGATAACTGGCTAGCCATATGCAGAAGATTGAAACTGAACCCGTTGCTTACACCATGTACAAAAACCAACTTAAGATGGATTAAAGACTTAAATGTAAAACCCAAATATATAAAAAACCCTGGAAAACAATCTAGGCAATAGTATTTTGGCCATAGGAACTGGCAAAGGTTTCATGATGAAGACTCCAAAAGCAATTGCAGCAAAAGCAAAACTTGACAAATGGGATCTAATCAAACTAAAGAGTTTCTGCACATCAAAAGTAGCTATCAAGAAACAGCCTACAGAATGGGAGAAATTATTTGCAAAACTATGTATCTGACAAAGGTCTAATATCCAGCATCTATGAAGAACTTAGACAAATTTACAAGAAAAAAACAACCTCATTGAAAGGTGGGCAAAGGACATGAACACACACTTTTTTTAAAGAAGACATACATGCGGCCAACAAGTGTATTTTTTAAAAGTTCAATATCACTGGTCATTAGAGAAATGCAAATCAAAACCACAGTAAGGTACCATCTCACACCAGTCAGAATGGTTATTATTAAAAGTCAAAAAATAACAGATGCTGGAGAGGTTGCAAAGGAACAGGAACTTATACACTGTTGGTGGGAGTGTAAATTAGTTCCACCGTTGTGGAAAGCAGAGTGGTGATTCCTCAAAGAACTAAAAACAGAAATACCATTTGACCCAGAAATCCCATTACTGGGTATATACCCAAAGGAATATAAATCATTCTATCGTAAGGACACATGCACGTATACATTCACTGCAGTACTATTCACAATAGCAAAGACATGGAATCAATCTAAATGCCTATCAATGGTAGATTAGATTTTAAAGATGTGGTATACATACATTGTGGAATATTATGCAGCCATAAAAAAGAACTAGATCATGTTCTTTGAAGGAACATGGATGGAGTTAAAGGCCATCGTCCTTAGCAAATTAACGTAAGAACAGAAACCCAAATACTGCATGTTCTCACTTATAAGTGGGAGCTAAATTATGAGAACACATGGACACACAAAAGGGGAACATCAGACACTGGGGACTACCTGAGAGTAGAGGATGGGAAGAGGGAGAGAAGCAGAAACAAATAACTATTTTGTACTAGCTTTATTACCTGGGTGATAAAATAATCTGTACAACAAACCCCAATGACATGAATTTACCTATATAACAAACTTGCACAAGTACCCCTGAACCTAAAATAAAAGTTTTTAAAAAATTAAAATATTTTCATTTCAGTTATGATATTTTTTAGCTCCAAAATTTCTTTTTAGTTTATTTTTTTACAGTTTCTATTTATCAATATTTTCATTCTGTTCATACATTGTTGTGTTTACTTTTTCTAGATCTTTTAAGTCCTTGAGCATCTTTATGAGAGTTGCTTTAAAGTATTTGTCTAGCAAGTTCACCATCTGGATTTTCTTGGGGTTTCTGTTTTTTTTTAAATGGGGGCCACATTTTACCAGTTTTTAATATGCTTGGTGATGTTTCTTGTTGAAAATTGAACATCTGGATTATAATGAAGTAATTCGGAAAAGAAGTTTCTCCTCCTTCCCCAGGGTTTGCTAATTTGGGTTTTTTTTTTTATTTTTGATTGTTATAGACTGTCTGCGAGGGATGAGCCTGAGGTGTCAGCATCTTCACAGGTCTTTTGAGCCTGCATGCACAAAAGGGTCTACTGTCCCTGGGTATGCACATTAACTCTCTGAATTTCTCTGTATATGTGGTTACTTTTGAATGTCTTAGATTTTAAATATCTGGTTCCCAAAACCAGATTACAATGAAGGGATAGGAGATTGGGGGTAGAATATCAAAAGAGTGCTGACCCTTTAAATCCTCTGAAAGTTAATTCAGCTTTGGGGGAGAGCCTTGCAATGGTGTGGGGAGGGTGTAACAATGGCTGCCTACCTATGTGTCTGCATCTCCAAGATCAAAAATAGCAATCATGGATCAGATCATAGATCCCCAATTTATGAAGGACAGGGCTTTGAGGCTTACCCGGCTCCCACAATGGGTACGGATGTGTTGCCTGCCCTTGGGGTGGGGCATGGGAGATGGGTAGCTGCTACTCTGCTAAAAGCTGAACTTACCCAGTTTGTCATCCAAACTTTCCCCTGGAAGTTGTAAGCCTTCAAACAGATTCTAGATCAGACAGGTTTTGCCAGTGCAGTTGTTGTCTAGGTAGGAAGACAGATTCCTGGTGCTTCCTGCTCTACCATCTTCCCAGAATCCTCGACTTAATCTAGTTTTATAAAATTGGGGAACCAACCTTAACTCAAAAAAAGAATTTAAACCTCTCCTCCATCCAGTCTTTCTCTGCAGAGCAGAGGATCCACTGTTGGTGTCCCTGTGGCCCAGCTGGAAGGTGAGGGAAGTAATACAGTGACAGAGAGGGAGAAGTCTACAGTGAAAGCCTAGTGACCCCAGAGAAAAGGGCCCAAGAGGCTCCCAGGCCTCCATTAGCAGGCTTCCAGATTAAAACAGTGTTCAATAAAAAGGACAATGCAAGATCCGGCTAAGAGAGTCAGGAACTAGAGGAGGAGAAGCATGACAAGATTTTCCAGTGGCTAGTAGGAAACAAGGCTCACATATTCCCTGAGCTGGAGTCTCACTGTTCTCATGGCTTTTTACCTGGTGCCCCTACCCTCAGATATGGATGTAAGGAAAGAGTTAAAAAAGATTATGCTAAAAGGATACCAAATATACTAAATATACGACTTGATAGTCATTGCAATTGGTTGCGCTTTTGATTCAACCTCTCATTCCAGCTGCTTGATAATCTCTGGGATCCTGCATCTGCACTTACCATGTCAGCTGGTCCACCCAGCTTCCTATCACACTTCAGTTCCATAAATGGCTGCCTACAGAGGAAAGCTTCACATGTGCCTAAAAACTCCCTTCAGATCGTCATCAGCCCGTATTCAGCCACAAGGAGGTCTTTCAATCTGAAACTCCAGAGATATTAATATCTATCGCTGTACAAGCCAGCCCAGTTCTGGGAAGGAAGGAAGGGAAGGGAATGTGTGAAGACAAGAGTGAGTGGTGGGTGGGGAGGACTGTTCTGTGCATGTTCCTATCACTTTAGTAGCTCATCAAAGAGAGCAAACGTCAGCACCTCTTGATTTGGTTTTGACTCCCCCAGATTTCTACAATTTCAGATTCTTGTTTTAAGTGCCAGTAAAACCTTTTCCCTTGGGGCTAGGGAACTGTGCAAAGGAAATAATAATACTGGCAGAGTGATTTGTTAGGTGTTCAATGGTGCTAAATCCTTATAAGCAAAAGCTCTCCCTACCTCCACCTATTTGTGCCCTCCCTACGCCCACATACCAGCCAATCTGGAAATGAGGAAAAACACTACAAAAGAGGAAAGGCAGACTCAGCCCCTCTCTAGGGACCTTTGTGCCAGCTACAAAGGAAAGACCACTACAGAGGTAAAAAAAAAATCTTTCTCCTGTCTTTGCCACCCACTCCCCCAATCATGCTCTTAAGACTTAAAGCCACAAGTCAACAGAGCTTCTCCACATTGTTCTTTTTCCCTTTTCATTCAGATTCCAAAATAATCAGAGAAACCCCACCTTACTTTCTCACTCCACAGGAGATGAACCATGCAGTTTGGTAAAATTATTTTGCATCCTGCAATCAGATTTTTATTTCTCCTCTTTCCCTCTGATGTAGCTTGCATTTCTTGGACAATAATGGTTAGAAAGTTGCCTCAGTAACAGGCCTTGGCATTTCTCACAAAGTCCAAATTGGTAACTTCCACCGAAGAGCCCAGTGGCTAATCCCAAATGTGCTTTCTAATTTATGCTCTGTCTGATCCAAAACTGCTCTGTGAATTTCCCACTGTCATGTTCCTGCAGTTCAGTCAGTCATTTTGTAGAAGCACATGATCCTTAGGATCCCAGCACTATATGGCACGGCTGCAAAAATTATTTTTATCTCTGGCTGCTCTATGAGGACTCAGAAAAGATATAAGAAATAGATGAGAAAATAACAAAATTGCGTTTCCAGAGGTATATTAGAGTGGACTGTTATGCAATCCCCTCCAAAAAAAAAACAAACAAACAAACAAAACCTGTATTCACTTTATCCACACGATGGTGCTAGCCTCAAAAAAATCGCCCTTCTCAGTCTTGCAAGAAGAATGAAAACAGTTCCACTTCCCTCTCATTAATGGCAAAGCTGTATACTGTAGCCAAGGCATCACTTACCTAGGGGGACGTTAATTCTGCAAATAAGCACCTAAAATAGATGGGTTCATCCTAATCCCCTTCCCCACCCCACTTCCCAGGGAGATAAAAAGGAACAAAATCACTGTTCTTTTCAACTCACTGATTCAATCATTTTAGCAACCCTGGGGCGTAAGAGTGATTCATGCTGGGCTTTTGGATGTGTGCAATCTTGGCACAGACCCTCACTACGCCTTAGAGGGAGCTGAGTGACTTGGGAGTATGTGGGGGAGCACTAGTCAACCAGCAGTCTAAAGCTCCTCATTGGGTTCTAATAAGTGTTGCTGGGAATGAAAGAAGATGGGAGCACCAGACATTTCACCAGGGTCACTGAATGAAAGAAGTGGATTCAACGTGGGCGCCTTCCAGGCTAATGGGCAAAGAAAACTAGGAAGTCTGTTTTGGGCTTCTCAACTCAAAAATATGCTCTCTACCTGTCTAATGACCAAGTTTCACCAGCTGCCTCTTCTTTTTATGGAATTTAGATCTTTCACTTAAATGTCTTAAAAGCTCAGGGTAATCTTGTTAAGCATGCTAAATAGTGCTTAGGTAACATTAAGATGCCAAATGGAACCAATTACCAGGTGTATAAACAAATAATTTTTAAAAGCAGGAAACCTGTCAAAACCAAAAAGCACTCTCAACTTTAGAAAGGGAGAACCAACTGAAGCTCTTTAATGGCTCTAAGTAAGCCCTTACCTGAAGCTGATACTAATAACAATGATAACCATGAGCAGTGATATGGGTCCAAAATGTCTTCAGACCTGGCCCTGGACACTGGCAGCTTGATGACGCCTGTGATTTGGGAACTAGCAGAAGGCACCACTTACCATTACACCCAAACATCCCCCTGTGGCCCTTTTACATGTTTAAACCCTCCAACTTTAGCCCAGCTGCGAAGAATATTATTTCTATAACTTCTATCTTAAAACATACATTCTAACTGAGAAGGAAGAAACGACTGAAGGAAAAAATTCTCATTAGGATGAATGAGTTCATTAGATTGGCTCATTTATCCTTAGAATAACAAGGGGGTGGCACGTGAGGAGATGGCATGTAGGATAACTAAATGTCAACAAAGAACAAACAGTTTGACAGTCATAAGTTCTGGGAGAAAAACGACCTGGGAGACGGCAACAATGAGTTTGAAAGGATTTTTCTGTTTATCACAGATCAGACATAAAAATGATGATTCACAAGTTCAAAAGATTTTACAGATGCACTCACTTCAGCTCACACCGTGTCTTTTGTTTTAATGTGTAGTTGTTGCAAATATTCTAAATGACATTTTAAAATGCAAATATTTTTAAATGACATTGTAAATTCTGAAAATGTCATTTAAAGCCCAGATTTAGGGCTTCTCTTTAAAAAGTAAAAAGGTTTTTTCCCATAAGTTCAATTGTTTTAATTTTTAACTCCCAAAATAAGTGAAAATGTGGTTTGTCTTTCCCTCCTTGGCCTATTTCACTTAATGTCCTTCAGTTCCACCCATGTTATTGCAAATGACAGGATCTTGTTCTTTTTTATGGCTGAATAGTACTCCATAGTATGTATGTATCACATTTTCTTTATCAGTTTGTCTGTGGATGGACACTTAGGCTGCTTCCAAATCTTGGCTATTGTGAATAGTGTTGCAATAAACATAAGAGTGCAGATATTTCTTCAGTACACTCATTCCTTTTCTTGTGGGTATATGCCTAGCAGTGGGATTACTGGGTCATATGGTATTTCTATTTTTAGCGTTTTGAGAAACTTCCAAACTGTTCTCCATAGTGGATGTACTAATACACATTCACACCAACAGTGTACCATGGTTCTTTTTTCTCCATATAATCGCCAGCATTTGTTATTGTCTGTCATTTGAATAACTGGGGTGAGATTATATTTCATCGTAATTTTGATTTGCAGTTCTCTGATGATCAATTATGTTGAGTGCCTTTTCATATGCCTGCTTGCCATTTGTATGTCTTCTTTTGAGAAATGTTTATTCATATATTTTGCCCATTTTTAATCAGATTGTTAAAATTTTTTCCTATAGAGTCGTTTGAGCTCCTTATATATTCCACCTATTAATCGCTTGTCAGATAAGTAGCTTACAAATGTTTTCCCCCATTCCGTGGGTTGTGTCTTCACTTTGTTGAATTTTTCCTTTGCTCTGTAGAAGCTTTTTAACTTGATGTGACCCCATTTGTCCACTTTTGCTTTAGTTGCATGTGCTTGTGGGATATTACTCAAGAAATTTTTGCCCAGACAAATGTCCTGGAGAGTTCCCTAATGTTTTCTTTTAGTAGTTTCATAGTTTGAGGTTTTAGATTTAGGACTTTAATCCATTTTCATTTGATTTTTATATATAGCAAGAGATAGGGATCTAGTTTTATTCTTCTGAACATGGATATCCAGTTTTCCCAGCACCGTTTATGAAAAGACTGTCTTTTACCCTCTGTGTGTTCTTGGCACCTTTGTCAAAAATGAGTTCACTGTAGAGGTATGGATATATTTCTGGGGTCTCTATTTGATTCCATTGCTCTCTGTGTCTGTTTTTATGCCAGTATCATATAGTTTGGTTACTATAGCTCTGTAGTATAATTTGAAGTCAAGCAATGAAGTTCCTCCAGTTTTGTTCTTTTTGCCCAGGATGGCTTTGACTGTTCTGAGTCTTTTGTGGTTCCATATAAATTTTAGGATTTTTTTTTTATTTCTGTGGTGAATGTCATTGGTATTTTGATAGAGATTGCATTGAATCTGTAGATTGCTTTAGGTAGTATGGACATTTGAACAATATTGATTCTTCCAATCCATGAACACGAAATAACTTTCCATTTTGTTGTGTCCTCTTCAATTTATTTAATCAGTGTTTTATAGTTTTCTTTTTTTGTTGTTGTTGTTGTTGTTTTTTGAGATGGAGTTTCGCTCTTGTTGCCCAGGCTGGAGTGCAATGGCATAATCTCAGCTCACCGCAACCTCCACCTCCCAGGTTCAAGCGATTCTCCTGTCTCAGGCTCCCTAGTAGCTGGAATTACAGGCATGCGCCACCATGCCCAGCTAATTTTACATTTTTAGTAGAGATGGAGTTTCTCCGTGTTGGTCAGGCTGGTCTTGACCTCCCGACCTCAGGTGATCTGCCTGCCTCAGCCTCCCAAAGTGCTGGGATTACAGGCGTGAGCCACCACACCTGGCCCAATCAGTGTTGTATAGTTTTAATTATCATGATCTTTCTCTTCTTTGGTTAAGTTTACATCTAGGTATTTTATTTTATTTGTAGCTATTGTAAATGGAATTGCTTTCTCGATTTCCTTTTCAGATTGTTCACTGTTGGCATATAGAAATGCTACTGATTCTTGTATGTTGATTTTGCAGTCTGTACCTTTAATGAATATGTTTTAGTTCTAGCAGATCTTTTGGCAGATTTTTTAGGTTTTTCCAAATATGAGATTACATTATCCACAAACAAGCAGAATTTGACTTCTTCCTTTTGAATTTGCAGGCCCTTTATTTCCTTATCTTGTCTGATTGCTCTAACTAGGATTTCTAGTACTATGTTGAATAACAATAGTGAAAGTGACATCCTTGTCATGTTCCAGGTCTTAGAGAAAAGATTTTGGTTTTTCCTCATTCAGTGTTATACTAGCTGTGGATCTATCACATATGGCTTTTATTGTATTGAGGTATTTTCTTCCATACCCAGTTTTTTAAGGGTTTTTTTCATAAAGGGATGTTGAATTTTATCAAATGCTTTTTCAGCATCAATTGAAATGATCATGATTTTGTCCTTCATTCTGTTGATATAATGTATCATGCTGATTGATTTGCATATGTTGAACCATCTTTGCATCCCTGGAATAAATCCCACTTGGTCATACTGAATGATCTGTCTAATGTGTTGTTGAATTTGGTTTGCTAGTATTTTGTTGAGGATTTTTACATCACTGTTCATCAGCGATATTGGCCTGTAGCTTTCTTTTTTTGATGTGTCTTTGATTTTGGTATCAGGGTAATACTGGCCATGTAGAATGAGTTTGGAAGTATTCCCCCTCCTCAATTTTTCAGAATAGTTTGAGTAGAATTGGTTTTAGATCATCTTTAAATGCTTGGTAGAATTCAGCAATGATGCCATCAGGTCCAAGGCTTTTCTTTGCTAGAAGACTTTTGATTATGGCTTCGATCTTGTAACTTGTTATTGGTCTGTTCAGGTTTTGAATTTCTTCATGATTCAATCTGGGTAGGTTGTATTTGTCTAAGAATTTAACCATTTCTTTAGGTTTCCCAATTTATTGGCATAAAGTTGCTCATGGTAGCCTGTAATTATCCTTTGAATTTCTGTGGTATTGGTTGTAATGTCTCCTTTTTCATCTCAGAATTTTTTTTATTAGGGTCTTCTCTCTTTTTTTCTTAATCTGGCTAAAAGTTTCTCGGTTTTGTTTATCTTTTCAAAAAACAAACTTTTCATTTCATTGATCTTTGTGTATTTTTATTTAAATTTCATTCATTTCTGTTAAGATTTTTATTACTTCTGTTCTTATACTAATTTTGAATTTGATTTGCTCTTGTTTTTCCAGTTCTTTAAAATGTATAATTGTGTTATTTATTTGAAGTTTTTCTACTTCTTTGAAGGTGCTTATTGCTATATCCTTTCCTCTTAGTACTGCTTTTGCTGTACCCTAAAAGTTTTATGTTGTGTTTCCATTATCATTTATTTCAAGAAGACTTTCAATTTCCTTCGTAATTTCTTCATTGACTTGCTGGTCATTCAGAAACATACTGTTTACCAGTGTTTGTACAGTTACCAACATTCCTCTTGTTATTGATTTCTAGTTTTATTCCATGTGGTCAGATAAGATACTTGATATTATTTCAATTATTTTGAATTTTTAAGACATTCTGTGGCCTAACATATGGCCTATCCTTGAAAATAATCCATATGCTGAGTAAAAGAATGTGTATTCTGCAACCATTGGATGAAATGTTCTGTAAATATCTATTAGGTGCACTTGGTCTATAGTGCAAATTAAGTCAGATGTTTCTTTGTTGCTTTTCAGTCTAGGAGATATGTCCAATGCTGAAAGTTGGATGTGGAAGTCTCTGGCTATTATTGTATTGGGGTCTATCTCTCTCTTTAGCTCTAATAATATTTGTTATATATATCTGGATGCCCCAGTGTTGGGTGCATATACATTTAAAATTCTTATATATCCTCTTGCTGCATTGACCCCTTTATCAATATATAGTGACCTTCTTTGTTTCTTCTTATAGTTTTTGTCTTGAAATCTATTTTGTATGATATAAATATGGCTACTCCTGCTCATTTCATTTTCATTTGCATAGAATATAATTGTCCATCCCTTTATGTTCAGTCTATGTCACTTTACAGGTGATGAGTGTTTTTTATAGGCAATAGATCATTGGATCTTGTTTTTTTTTTTTTTTTAACGAATTAGCCACTCTATGTCTTTTGGTTGGAGAGTTTAGTCCATTTACATTCAATGTTATTATTGATAAGTAAAGACTTACTCCTGTCATTTTAAAATTTGTATCCTGATTGTTTTGTGGTCTTCTCTTCCTTCTTTCCTGTCTTCCTTTAGTGTAGGTGATTTTCTCTGGTGGTATGTTTCAATTTCTTGCTTTTTGTTTTGGTACATCTGTTGCATGTTTTTTGATTTGAGGTTACCATGAAGCTTATAAATAATATCTTATAACTCCTTATTTTAGACTAAGCTCAACTTAATGCTGATTGCTTAAACAAAGTAACAAGCAAGCAAAGAGAGAAGTAATACAAACTCTACACTTTAAATTCATCCCCCACTTTTTAACTTTTTGTTGTTCCTATTTATATCTTATTATATTGTCTGTGTTTTGAAAAATTTTTGTAGTTACTATTTTTGATAGGTTCATCTTTTAGTCTTTGTACTCAAGATATGAGTAGATTACACACCACAATTATTGTGTTATAATATTCTGTCTTTCTGTGTACCCACTATTACCAGTGAGTTTTGTATCTCCAGATGATTTCCTAATGCTCACTAATGTCCTTTTCTTTCAGACTGAGGAAGTGGATTTAGCATTTCTTGTAGGACAGGTCTAGTATTGATGAAATCCCTCAACTTTTGTTTGTCTGGGAAAGTCTTTATTTCTCCTTCATGTTTGAAGGATATTTTCACAGGGTATGCTACTTTAGGATAAAAGGTTTTTTTTTTTTCCTTCTGCATGTTACTTATTTCTTTTCTCTTGCTGCTTTCTTTATCATTGACCTTTGGGAGCTTGATTATTAAATGTCTTGAGGTAGTCTCATTTGGATTATATCTGCTTGGTGTTCTATCACCTTCTTGTACTTAAATATTGATATCTTTCCCTAGGTTTGGGAAGTTCTGTTATTTTCTCTTTAAATATACTTTCCACCCTGGTATCTCTCTCTCTCTTTCTCTCTCTCTCTTTCCTCTTTAAGGCCAATAACTTTTAGGTTTGCCCTTTTGAGACTATTTTCTAGATCTTGCATTTATGCTTCATTCTTTTTTATTCTTTTTTTTCTTTTGTCTTCTCTGGTTGTGTATTTTCAAATAGCCTGTCTTCAAGCTCACTAATTCTTCTGCTTGATCAAGTCTACTGTTAAGAGGCTCTGATGTGTTCTTTAGTATGTCAATTGTATTTTTCAGCTCCAGAATTTCTGCTTGATTCTTTTTTTAAAATTATTTCAATCTCTTCATTAATTTCATCTGATAGGATTCTGAATTCTCTCTCTGTGTTATCTCAAATTTTGTTGAGACTCCTCAAAACAGCTATTTTGAGTTCTCTGTCTGAAAGGTCACATATCTCTGTGTCTTTGGTACTGGTCACAGGTGCTTATTTCATTCATTTGGTGAAGCCATTTTCTGGGTAGTCTTGATGCTTGTAGATGTTTGTGGGTGTCTGGATGTTGAAGAGTTAGGTATTTATTATAGTCTTCTCAGTCTGAGCTTGTTTGTGCCCATCCTTCTTGGGAAGGCTTTCCGAGTCCCTTTTCAAAGAGATTTGGGCACTGTGATCTAAGTCTTTGGTCACTGCAGTTGCATGTGCATTAGGGGGCACCCTAAGCCCAGTGATGCTGTGGCTCTTGCAGGCTTGTAGAGGTACTTCCTTGATGTCTTGAGTGAGACCTGAGAGAATTATCTGGATTATCCAGCAGAGACCCTTGTTCTCTTCCCTGACTTTCTCCCAAACAGAGTCTCTCTCTCTCTCTCTCTCTCTCTGTCTCCTCCCATCACTCTCTCCCCACTTGAAGCTAGGGGAGGAGTGACAGAAGCACTCCTGTGGCTACCACAACTGGGATTGTGCTGGGTCAGACCCAAAGCCAGCACTGGGGTCTCACTCAAGGCCCGCAGTTACCACTGCTTGGCTATCACCTATGTTCATCAAGGCCTAAGGGCTCTGTAACCAGCAGGTGGTAAATCTAGCCAAGCTCATGTCCTTCCTTTCAATGCAGTGAGTTATCCTTGGCCCATGGTGGGTGTGGGTCCAGAGATGTCATCCAGGAGCCAGGACCTGGAGTCAAGAACCTTAGGGATCTACTTGGTGCTTTATTCTACTACTGCTGGGCTGGCACCCAAGCTTTAAGACAAAGTCCTTCTCACTCTTCCCTCCTCTTTTCTCAAGCAGATGAGTCTCTCCCCATGGTCACCACTGCCCCAGGCCCACAACAAACAGTACCTGGCTACCACCATGTTCACTCAAGGCCCAAGGACTCTTCAGTCAGCTTGTGGTGCATGTTACCAGGCCTGGGATTCTCTTTTCAGGGAAATAGGCTCCTCTGTGGCCCAGGAAGGATCGAGAAATGCTGTCCAGGAGCCAAGGCCTGGAATCAGGAACCCCAGGAGCCCACTTGGTGCTCTACACCGCTGAGTAGAGCTGGTGGTACCCAAGCTTCAAAACCAAGTCCCCTTACTCTTCTTACCTCTTCTTTCCTTAAGCAAAAGGAGTCTCTTTTTGTAAGGCCCACAGCTGGGAATGTGCTGGGTCACACATGAAGCCAGCATGGCTCTGAGTCTCACCCAAGGCCCAAGGTGAATACTGCTTGGTTGCTACTGCTGATTATTCAGGACCCAAGGGCTCCTTAATCAGTAGGTGATAAATTCTGCCAGGACTGAGTCCTTCCCTTCAAGACAGCGGGTTTCCTTCTAGCCCAGAGTGTGTCTAGAAATGTCATCTGTGAGCTAGGGCCTAGAAAAGAGGCCTCAGGACTCTGCCTGGTGCCCCATTCTACTATGGCTGAGTGGATATCCAAGTTCCAAGACAAAGTCCTCTTTACTCTTCCCTCTCTTCTCCTCAAGCAGAAGGAAGAAGTTTCTCCCTGTGCTGCCTGGGGTTGGAGGAGAGGTGACCTTCCCCTGGCCACCCCATCTGGTCATGTGTGCCCCAAGTCCACTGGCTCTGAGCCAAGCACCGCACTGAGATTTGCCCAGGAATTGCAGTGCTTGTGGCTTAGACTGCCTTTCAAGTTTATTTTGAACCCCACAGCAGTTTAGCCAACAGTGGTGCTGGTGAAGCTTGTTGGAACTCAGGTTCCAACAGCCAGGATAAGTGATTCTCCTCTGGCTAGGGCTGGCCTAAATGCTCCCTCCGTGGGTGCCAACTGAGTTCTGCCTTCTGTTGCTTTCCACTGTGATAGGACAACACTGAGGTCATATGTAAAATTGCACAGTTACTGCATTCACCCTCCCCAAAGTGCACAGATTCTCTCTGAGCCAAATGGGTTAAGGGAGAAGTGATGGAGGCGATTCGAAGCTGTCTTTCCTACCCTCTTCAGTACCTCTTCCAGTGATGTGAAGTTAAAACCAGGTATTGTGATTGTTCACCTCAGTTTTCAACTTCATGAAGGTGCTTTTCTTGTATTGCTTAATTTGTTGTTCCTCTGGGGGGGTGTATAATTGCTGGAGGCTTCTATTTGGCCGTCTTGCTCTCCCTTCTGTTGAAGAGTAAAAAGATTTGTCACTATTAGACAGAATTCTCATGTGACAATAATTGCTCAAACAGAAATAACAGCTATTAACAGAGTACAGGTCTGTTTCTTTACAATGGTTTCCATCACCCCTATTGCATTATGCCCAGTCTATTTTACTCATTTGTGCCACCAGTATGCCCTTGTAGGTCTTAATCAACCTTTATTCCTAAGGGCACCTAGAGAGAGGATCCTTAAAAGGGAAATGACAGTGCCAATTGTTTGGGGAGGTGCCAAAAGACAGATAACTTTTGGAAAACAGTACTTGACAGAAAAAAAAAAAAAAAAAAAGGAAACACCAGACTGAGCACAATGGCTTATGCCTATAATCCCAGTTCTTTGGGAAGCTGAGCGCAGGTGTTTGAGAACAGCCTGAGTACCACAGCAAGACCCCATCTCTACCAAAAAAAAAAAAAAAAAAAAAAAAAAGCTAGGCATGGTGGTGCACACCTGTAGTCTAAGCTATTTAAGAGGCTGAGACAGGTGTCAGGGGAGGATCCCTTGAGCCCAGGAGTTTGAGGCTGCAGTGAGCTATGATCACACCATTGTACTCTAGCCTACGTGACAGAGTAAGACGCTGTCTCTAAAAATAAATTAATTAATTAAATAAAAAATTGTAAAAAGGAAACAACTTAGAGCAAAGTTAATACATTACAGCTCATACTGGGCTAAGTAGAAAGCACAAGTGGTTCCGGTGATTTAGAGCAGTGTGAGGAAAAAAAGACCATTGAAAACTGTATGATGAAAAAGTTTTCCTGAATCTCAGCTTCTGATTTATAAGAAGGCAAACCAGGAGTCTTCTTAACAGGTCATATGAACTTTAGAAATAGGCAAAGACTCCCTGTGCAGCAGGGATGCAGCCTTAAGTACTTTCTTTCTCACAGTTCATGGATGAAGACCGAAGGAACTGAACAGCAATAACGGAGGTTTGGCTTAGGCTGAACATTAGGAACAAACCCCCTTCCAATATTATATATGTTAAATCTGAGATAGCTGCACAGAATGATAAATTATTTGCACTTAAGTGATCTGTACCCAGTCTTAATTTATTGCTGGGGAGTGAGTGATGATATGAAGAGGTCAAGGCCATTGAAAGAACAATTTGTTGCTACTCACAGTTCCCCTAGAAACAAGAGGCACAGCACACCATGCAAGGCCACATGGGGAAGCAGCAGAGTAGATCAGGAGGCAGAAGCAGGAAGGAGCATGGCCTAGAGCCTTTATTGTGTTTTCTTCATGAGAGGCAAGGTGGGACAGGAGAAACAGCTTAGTACTGGCTAGTTTGAATAATGTCTGTGGGCTCTGATATAGCATAGGAGTGGTGTCTAGTTGCCTGGTATGATTCAGAGCAGGGAAAGTATTGAAATGTTGTATGGGAGTTAGAGAAATGAGGTGGTTGAGCTTATGGACTCAGGATTGGTTGGAGAATTTGTAATACGATTTTGAGCACCTGCAAAAGCTTGTTCACAGGGGATACGTAAACAACTTTGCCCACTGGTTTGGCCCTGTGATTAATGAATGCCAAATAGACAAATACAGAATCTAAGAAAACACAGAACATAAGTGAACACTGAGAAGCATTCAGTCCAGTCACTTCATTTTACAAATAAGGAAGTTGATATTTAAAGATGTGACCTCATTTGTCCAAAATCCACTGAAGCTTGCTAGCAGCACTGCATAAAATAAAATCCCTATGCACTATTCCCAACTCTATGATCTCTTGGCTACACTATATTGACTTATGCAGATAATGCAATTCCATTCATGTATTGGAAATCTAAAGCAGGGATTAGCAAACTTTTTTGTAAAAAATCACCCAGTAAATATTTTATATTAATGCTAATATTTATATTATTTTAATATTTATATTATTATTTTTGTAACAAGTCACCTAGTAAATATTTGCAAGTCATACAGTCTCTGTCACAACAACTCAAATCTGCCATTGTAGCACTAAAGCAGCTGTAGACAATGGATTAAAAAAAAATGGGTGTGGCCATGTCCCACTAAAACTTTATTCAGCAATGCTAAAATTTAAATTTCATATTAATTTTCATATGTCATGAAATATTATTTTAAAATTTGTTTTCAATCATTAAAAAATGCCATAACTATTCTTAGCTTGTGGGCTATATACAAAGACAGCAGGCTGAGTTTTGCCCATGAACCATAGTTTACTGACCCTTGGGCTAAAGAATTTGTGTGTAGACTTCCTATGTAATCTCAGATGATTGAGCCAAATGAGAGTTCAACACTCCAGGTCTTTATTTCTCCATTGATAAAATGAGATAAATACACTATAAGGTCCCTTGTGGACCTGTGGCCTTGAGGTTTTTGCAAAGGATACTCTAACACAAAAATGGGCTGTAGGCTCTTTTATGGGAAGCTCTTCAGAATACTTCTACCTGAAATATCTCCAGGAACCACAGCAATTCAGGAACTACAGTGTGAAGAACATTAGATACACAGAATATTAAAATTAAAAAAGATCTGTTGGATGATGTTTAGGAAACATGATAAGAGACATTTCTGTACTTCTCAAAGCTACTGTAAATTAGGAGTACCCAAAGAATTGGAGAAGGTCCCCTAAAACACACTCTCAAAGACTTGAGTGCAGGTAGTTAATGTCAAAGGCAAAAATAAGAGACACAAATGAGACAGGGAAAATTGAGATAGGGAAATGAGTAAACAATAAAATTGTGTTAGTGAACAAGTAAGTGCCATGAGTAACTAGAGGTCAGTTCTGCTGGAATCTGTCTAAGAAACTATGATGTGGCTTTGGAATTGTTTAACAGAGGGTGGGGAGGCCTAGGCATTTATCTATCAAGTCCAGTTTTTCAATGATTGAGGGTTGTTCTGAGGGTGTAAACTCACCCACACTTTTTTTTTTTTTTTTTTTTTTTTTTTTTTTTTTTTTTTGTGAGACAGAGTCTCTCTCTGTTGCCCAGGCTGGAGTGCAGTGGCACGATCTCGGCTCACTGCAAGCTCCGCCTCCCAGGTTCACGCCATTCTCCTGCCTCAGCCTCCCGGGTTGCTGGGACTACAGGCGCCTGCCACCACGCCTGGCTAATTTTTCATATTTTTAGTAGAGATGGGGTTTCACCATGTTAGCCGGGATGGTCTCGATCTCCTGACCTCGTGATCTGCCCACCTTGGCCTCCCAAAGTGCTGAGATTACAGGCGTGAGCCACCGTGCCCAGCCAAACTCACCCACACTTTCAGGTTTTACTTGCAAGAGTGCAGACTCTCCCAGATTGCTGAAGAAATTCGTCAGGCAAAGAAAAGAACCTGGATGAAAGTGGGAAACTATAAAAATGCTAGAAATACCGACCGTGGTACTCAGAGGGGAGCTAAAGAGATAAAGTGTGGTTGTCAATATTTTAGCTGCAGGGATGATAGAGGGAAGGGGGAAATCAACATTTTCTAAAGTCATTTGACCTCAAAACACTTTTTTCTATGAAGCATCCCAACTTAATTGACTCTAGAACTCCTTCATTCATAAAGCATCTGTCCTTGGGGAGATACTGCAATAAGGTAGATAGGATAATCTTAGTAAAATTAGAAGATCTCTTCAGGGTCTATTTTCTAGGATCAAAATGACAAAGCATTCACTAAATACCAATAAGCTTCTGATATCCCTGGGGCAGAAAGTAGGCCAATTCATTCCACACAGTGCCAGGCACGAGGTCAACTCCAACATGAAAAGCACAGTGAAAAACAATTTACCTCCAAATGAGGTTGCCATCTGAAGTGAGGCATGTCAGAGGAGGGACAGAATGTTCAAAGTGTGGTTGGAATCAAGACAACGCATGACCATCTGCCATCCAAGTACCATCTTCTGAATCGTTTAGCCACCTGCACACCTGTGCAGGCATGTCACATTGAGGAAGGGATTGCCATGCCATCATAATGAGCAATAAAAACAAAAGCTCAAGAAATCACTCTTAGGCCTCTGATACCATTACTTTCCTAAATTTAGAATCTGCCCCCAAGAAGAAACATATGGAAAAAGAGATTCATAAGCCTAAATCCTAAATCTAAACAAGACTGAAGTTTCTGTGTGATCTGAATTTTTAGACTACCGGGTCATATGTGGAAAATCAGCAAGCTGTTAAAGGAATAGCATGGCAAATGCTGAACAGATCCTAATCTGGAATCCATTACGTATCTTCTCATTTTGAACTTTGATCAACACAAAAATCACCTCTTCTCTAACCTCATTCAGATTTCACCTCTAGATCTACTTTTCCCAGGAAAGCCAAATAAATCCATCCAAAACTAATTATAGAGAAGTGCCTCTAAGTGCTCAAAGCAATCAGTTCCCCTAAAGAGCTTTGCACAAAAGAGCACAGCTCGCCTATTCTAGTTCTTTAGACCTTCAACACCAGAGATTGGGTTTGTGTAAATGTGATGTGCTTGTCTAGGATTCATTATGTGAGAAATGTTATTTACTTGGTCTATATTCTCTAGGCAACAGTATTTTTATTCTAAATGTTAGATAAGGTCCTCCCAGTTCAAGTGCCTCTCCTTAAAAAGACGTTTCAATTTGGGAACTCTAAAGATACCAAAAGTCACACCATTAGTAAGAACTCACCAAATATATTATATCCAGGAAAATAGATATGCCCTTTTCTAATTAGTTAGCTTAAGCATATAATGGGAAAGCAACACAGCAGAGCAGTTAGATATCCAAACTTAGAGGTCAGATTGCCTGGGTTCACACTGGCTTCACCACTAAATAGCTGTGTGACCTGAGTCAAGTCACTCAAGCTCTCTGAGACTCCATTTCTGTATATATAAATGAGGCATGGTAACACATGTAAGTGAAATGCATGTAAGTGAAAATGCATATAAAGTGTTTAGCATTGTATCTGGAGCATAATGAGCTTTAAAACAGTAGGTATTTATGGTAGGCTGAGAATGCCCCCCCAAAAATTATTCATGTTCTAACTCCTGGACTCTGTAAATGTCACCTTATATAGAACAAGCACCTCTGCAGATGTGATGAAGGTAAGGATCTTGAGATGAAGAGATGATCTGGATTATTAATAGAGTGGACCCTAAACTCAATTGCAGGTATCTTTATAAGAGGGAGGCAGGTCCGGGCGCGGTGGCTCCCGCCTGTAATCCCAGCACTCTGGGAGGCCGAGGCGGGCGGATCACGAGGTCAGGAGATCGAGACCATCCTGGCTAAGACAGTGAAACCCCGTCTCTACTAAAAAAAATACAAAAAATTAGCCGGGCGTATTGGCCGGCGCGTGTAGTCCCAGCTACTCGAGAGGCTGAGGCAGGAGAATGGCGTGAATCTGGGAGGCGGAGCTTGGGTGAGCTGAGATCGCGCCACTGCACTCCAGCACTCCAGCCTGGGCGACAGAGCGAGACTCCGTCTCCAAAAAAAAAAAAAAAAAAAAAAAGAGGGAGGCAGAGGGAGATCACACACACACACACACACACACACACACACAGGAAGGGGCCATGTGAAGATGGGGGTAGACAGAGATTTAAAAGTGCCATCCACGAAGGCTACAATGATGTTATCACGAGCGAAGGAATGTCAGCAGCTGGCAGGGGGAACCTGCAGAGGGAGTGTGGTCCTGCTAACACCGTAATTTCAGCCTAGTGATACTGATTTTGGACATCTGGCCTCCATAACCATGAAAAAATAAATTTCTGTGGTTTTAACCCACCAACTTTGTGGTAGTTTGTTACAGCAGCCACAGAAAACCGGTGTAACGATACTCTTTATTTATTTATTTGCTTACTTATTTATTTATTTTTGAGACAGTGCCTCACTCTGCCACCCAGGCTAGAGTGCAGTGGCTCAATCTTGGCTCACTGCAACCTCCGTCTCCCAGGTTCAAGTGATTCTTGTGCCTTAGCCTCCCAAGTAGCTGGGAGGCATGTGCCACCATGCCCAGCTAATTTTTGTATTTTTGTAGAGACAGGGTTTTGCCTTGTCAGCCAGGCTGGTCTCAAACTCCTGGCCTGAAGTGATCTGCCCACCTCGTCCTCCCAAAGTGCTGGGATCACAGGCATGAGCCACTGCACCCAGCATCTTTTATGTATCTATTGCTGTGTGACAAAACTTAGTTACTTAAACAGCAAATGTGTTATCCCACAGTATCTGTGGGTCAGGAACCTGGGCACAGCTTAGTTTGGTGTCTGTCCCTCAAGGTGTCTCACAAGGTTGGAATCAAGATATCGGCAGAGGCTGTGGTCTCATCTCAAGGCTTGAGTGAAGAAGGAACTAAGGAAGATTCAGTGCTGCATAATAGTAGACTGAGGGCCTCAAATCTTGCTGAGTGTGGACAGAAGCTACTCTCAGTTTCTTGTCACACGTGTCCCTTCATACAACAGCTTACAACACAGCAGCTGACTTCATCAGAATGAGCATGACAGTGATCGAGAGAGAGAGAGTGTGTGTGTGCGATGGTGGAAGTCAACACCTTTTTAAACTTAATCTCAGAAATGATAGCCTATCACTTTTGCTGCAGTGTCTTTGTTAGAAGTGAGTCACTAGGTCTAAGGACATTAACTATCCAGAATAGTTACCTGCACCAAGTCTTTTCATTTGACAGCTGCCCTGGCTCTTTATCACCTGCTGACCTTTTTTTTGAATACTAACCTAATCTAATTCACATTGGTCTGTTTATTATAGAATGCAGGACTGTTAATAGAAAAAGTTCCCAGTTGTTCAATCTGCAAATGCCCAAAATTCAGACTTTAAAATAAAAATCTACCATGTCTATGTAGATTTATGGTTTTACATTTGCTTCCACGTGTTTCTGTGTATCTTTTCCTGCTCTGAAAAATATGTCTGTTATGTAGTTGCCTAAGAATGGCTTCTTCTGGCCAGGCATGGTGGCTCATGCTTGTAATCCCAACATTTTGGGAGGCCAAGGCGGGCAGATCACAAGGTCATGAGATCGAGACCACCCTGGCTCACATGGTGAAATCCCATCTCTACTGAAAATACAAAAAAGTAGCCTGGCGCAGTGCCGGGTGCCTGTAGTCCCAGCTACTCAGGAGGCTGAAGGAGGAGAATGGCATGAACCTGGGAGGCGGAGGTTGCCGTGAGCCAAGATCGCGCCACTGCACTCCACCCTAGGTGACAGAGCGAGACTCCGTCTCAAAAAAAAAAGAAAAAAAGAAAAGAATGGCTTCTTCTATGTGGTGAGAGGGTTTTCATAGATTTCCTTGCATTTGGCACAAGGAGAACAACTTCCAGCCCAGAACATCTTTTCTTGCTCTCAATGGTCACTCCATATGTCTCTCACGGTGCCTCTCACCAGCCCCAGAATCCATGGCTAGCCTTCAAAACTGTCCTTTTGTTTCACTAACATTTTGCTGTTTGACATTCACACCACTCAAATCAAATATTATCGATTTTTTGAGCAGAAAATATCTTCAATTTATCTCATCAAGCCTCAAAGAGAAAAGCTCAGAGGGCTTTCTCTCTGATATTCTCAGTGCTAGTTAAGGACACAGTTGATGTTGAAGCCTGTTGTCTCAACTCCCAATAGGAGTAGTCGTGTGTGTGTGTGTGTGTGTGCACATACACGTGTATGTGTGTTGCTCATTTTGCACTGCTTTTAGATGTTATGATTAGTTCTCAAATACACAATATGTACTCAGGAAATGTTTGTAAGCAACATCAAAATCCATGCTAGAACAAAAATGATATCTAAAAGAAGCATAAAATTGTGATGAGGAGGCTGATGAGAAGTGATGTTCATGTGTGAGCTTGGTCCCATGCAGAACACTAATTCTTTCTTCGGCTTCCTGTCCTAGTATCAGTCAAAGTCAGGAGACAGAAAGAACACAGTAATTTGAAGAGGAAATGTTAATGTAAAGAATTATTAATCATTTATAGGGGATTAGCTACCAAGAAGGGATAATAGAGAAATCTAAAGATTACCTGAGGTCTGAATGAGAGAACCCAAAGAAGGAACAAACTTGGAAGGGGGCCTCTTCCTCAGGACTGGGATACAGATCACAATAAAGGGACTGTGGCTTCAGCCTGTAGGATAGGAGAGAAGTCACAGTTGGTCCATAGTCTGCAGGCCAAGGGTGGCAGACAGAGAACCACCACTGGGTGCCAGTGAAACTCCCGAGGAAGCTGTCAGCAGAGGCTGCTGATGAATTCACTGAAGGCTGTCAAAAGTTACCTACAGAACTCATCCAGAAGCCACCCACAAAGATGTTGCTAAGATCACAAAGAAGCCACCTTTCCAGGAAGCTGCCTGTGGCTAGTACCACTTAAACTTGCCAGGGGTCATCTCCACTGGGTATCCTGTATAGGCAGGCCAAGCACCACAGGAAGGAGGGAAAAGGACAGCTAAAGCAGGAAAAGAAGTCCCTCCCCCCCTCTAGTGTTCCTCTATTGCCATCTACTAAAAAACTTGACATGGTGCCAAGAGGTAAAGAAGAAATGCTTACGAGATCCATCTTGGCTATCAAGCACAACATTAAAGGGTGGATTTGGAGCTGAGAGACAGTAATTCAATAACAGCCACACTCTTGTCATCAGTGATGTGATAGGAGCTCTAATCTCAGCTCTGCTAATGTGCTAACACCTAGGGACTTCTTAAACAGATGATTCCCTGCATGTCACCTTAGTATTGCTTCACTTTTCTTAATCCAGTCTATGGAACATTTTGAGTTTGATAGACCCAATGAGCCACTCTATTACTTCAACATGTGATAATTTAAAATAGCAAATAATTTTTTCTATTTTATTTTTCCTGATACCAATCACTAAGATAATCTGGATTCAATTTATACTGTTACTATAGCAAATTATCATAAATTTAGTGACTTAAAACTATATACAAATTTATTTTCCTACAGCTCTGGAGGTCAGAAATCAAAAATGGGTCTGCTGGGCTGCATTCCTTCTGCAGGCTCTAGGGAAGAATCTGTTTCTATTTTTAGCTTCTAAAGGTGAACTGCATTTCTTGGCTCATGACTCCTTCTTTCATCTCCAAAGCTAGCAGTGTATCATCTTCTCTGCTCTCTGACCCCTGCTTCTGTCCTCACATTATCTGACTTTGTTCATTTTGCCTCCCTCTAAGGACTGTTGCAATTACATTGGGTCCATGAGGATCATCTAGAATAATTCCCTCACCTCAAGATAGTTAATTTAATCATACCTGCAAAATATTTTTTTGCCATGTAAGGTAATATATTCATAGGTTCTGGATACTAAGGCATAGATATCTTTGGGAGGCCATTATTCTTTCTATCATATACTCCTTCCTAAAATTAAAGTCTCTTGGATATTACCTAGTTTTGCTTCGTGTACATTTTGTCATTTAAAAGAATTTCAAAACCTCCCTGCTCTGACCCTGGCTTTCAAGACACCAAGATACGATCGATTACAAACACTTGATTTCCCTTCAGCTCCCCATTCTTAATTTCAAGAAAATTTTGTTTCCTCAACTTTAACCCTCCTTCTAATTTCTTCAAAAATAAAATAGAAATACTTTAGCTTATGAATTTGCTAGAACTAATGACATAAGCTTCCTGCAAACCATTAGGTATACCAATCTCTCTGTAGCTACTTCAATTGTCTTCCAAGAGTTAGAGGGATTTCTGAATTGATAGAGAGAGGTGAAAATGGCATTCAGTGCGTGTGTGCACACATGTTCTACCCCCGCAAGTTCTACCCCACAAGACTAAAATTGTTTAATGTGTTTCCCTTTCTTTCTATGTTCCCTGTACTCTCCTTCTGCCTCTCAGTATATGGCAGTAGAGAAAGTTGAATGCATAATTAATTCTAAGTCACTTAAAGATCCTAAAGGAAAAGACACTGTATTAGTCAAGGTTCTCTTAGAGGAACAGAACTAATAGGAGAAAGATTATATATATATATATATATATATATATATATATATATATATATATGAGTTTATGAAGTATTAACTTACACAATCATAAGGTCCCACAATAGGCCATCTGCAAGCTGAGGAGCAAGGAGAGCCAGTCCAAGTCCCAAAACTAAAGAACTTGGAGTCCGATGTTAGAGGACAGGAAGCATCCAGTATGAGAAAGATGTAGACTGCGAGGCTAGGCCTATCTCTCCTTTTCATGTTTTTCTGCCTGCTTTATATTTGCTGGCAGCTGATTCAATTGTGTCCACCAGATTAAGGGTGGATCTGCCTTCCGAAGCTCACTGACTCAAATGTTAATCTCTTTTGGCAACACCCTCATAGACACACCCAGGATCAATGCTTTGCATCCTTCAATCCAATCAAGTTGACAGTATTAACCATCACAGGAACTTTCCAATTAGAGGACAGAAAGTCAAATGCAACTAGGAAACAATAAGATACGAATACCCACTAACCACCATTTAATGATATTAAATTAATACCATTAAAATTGCCAAAACTCAAAACACTGACAACACCAAGTGCTAAAAGATGTGGAACAACAGGAACTGTATTCATTGCTGGTGGGAATGCAGAATGGTACAGCCATTCTGGAATATGCTTTGGCAGTTTCTTACAAAACTAAACATACCCTAATCATAAAATCTATAAATCATATTCTTTGGTATTTACCCAAAAATTTGAACACTTATGTCCACACAAAAGGTGTTTTCACAAAGATGTTTGTCACAGCATTATTCTTAACAGTCAAAGCTTGGAAGCAACCAAGATGGCGTTCAGTAGGTAAATGTATAAATAAACTATGGTACATCCAGACAATGGACTATTTATTATTCAGTGATAAAAATAAATGAGCTATCAAGTCATAAAAAGAGATGGAGGAATCTTCAACATATATTACCAAGTGAAAGAAGCCCAACTGAAAAGGCTTTTTACTATATGATTTCAACTATATGACATTCTAGAAAAAGCAAAACTATGAAGAAAGTAAAAGCATCAGTGGCTGCCCAGGGTTGGGGGAAGGAAGGGATGAATATGCAGAGCATAGAGGATTTTTAGGGCAGTGAAATTATTCTGCATGATACTGTAACAGTAGATGTGTGTCATTTTATATATCCATCCAAACCCACAGAATGTACAACACCAAGGGTTAACCCAAATGTAAACTACGGACTTCGGATGATACTGGGACGTCAATGTAGGTTCATCAGTTGTAACAAATGCACCCCTATGGTGGGGGGTGTTGATAATGGGGGAGGCTATGTGTGTATGGAGGCAGGGGCTATATGGGAAATCTCTGCACCTTCTGCTCAATGTTGCTGTGAACCTAAAACTGCTCTAAAAAATAAAGTCTATTTTTTAATGGGATTATGAAGAAATGAAAAAGGAATTTATATTAGCCCATTGCCAATAACAGTGAAAAGTGAAGATTAAGACCAGCAAGAATATTTGTGCCACTTATGAGCAATCGAAAACCTGTCAGTGTAGCCACTGTATCAGGCTCTGTGGGCAATGGGGACTCCTCATGAACTCCCAAGGTAACTTGAAAGTAAATTAACCAGCCTAAGACAGATAATCCAGTGGTCCTAAAAGATGGATGATTTGAGGGGTGCTGATTTGGTGCAAGACTAAATGGCAAAGGAGTTCAATCTCTGCTCAAACACCAGTGAATACATGAGCCATCTCAGGATCAAGCACCTACGGTAACTTCCAGAGCCGCAGAAATGAGCAGTGGTCAGTTATACTTTCAGCCTGGGCAAAGTCTAGTCCCCAAGCACAAAGGAAAGGTATATAATAAGGCCTAAGTTATAATGGAAATTATGGAATGCTCCTGCTTTAAATTTTTGGAAATATCACCCTATAATCCTCCCTTTCTGACCACTGTGTCCTCTGCCGCTTGCCTTAACACTGTCAAAAAGTTTATCTGGGTTTATTCACACCCATAACTACTAGTAGGAGAAAAGAATAAAGTTTGTTGTTGCTGTTGTTGTCATACCATAGGGGTTAGACACCCTGACCTAGGCTTTTTTTTTTCCAACTATTTAAACCTCTAAAGAACAGATTATGAACACTGGATCACAAAGACAGAGTGCAAGAAAGAGAGACACAGAATGAGAGACAGAGAGAGAGAGGATACGGCTGTATTTATATGGCCAGGGGTCTTCCACTGAAGATAGTGGACTGAGTTCAAGTTTTTTTCTTTGCATTGCTTCCACTAAAATTTCACTGACATAAAAAAATACTAATAAATATACAGCACCTGTGAAAGCAATGAAACCTTCTGCAAATGACCAGAAACTTAAGGAATTTCTGGATATTATAAAAGCATATAGAATCAAATTAATTTATAAGTTAATTGCCAAAACTTCTGCCTCCTAATACTAGTAAAGAAGGAGGGGTGATGGAGGAGTGCATAGTTTGGTTTCCTAACGGAGTTCAGAAAAGTTTAAATCTCCGAGAAGCAGGAGTGGGTCATGGAAGCATGGGAGTGCGTGGGGTCTTAGAAATATGGCAGGAGCTGGGCCAGAATCCTGCTCTGTGCAAAGCAACTCCCTAACAAAAATGGTAACCTGCCTGCCGGAGAGGAGCCAGAGAAATGGCTGTGCCTTGTTCAAATTTAGATCGGTATAATGGAAGAAAAGGAAAAGGAAAAAAGCACTCAGTGGTACAGGAAAGGCTTTTAAAGCATTGTCTTCATCATAAGAAGTTCCTGCTTCCTCAGTTGAGGGGCTCCTATTCTGTCAGTCTGCTTACCATTAAAACATCCTAGAAGAAAACACAGCTTTTAGAAGTGCCCACCTACTCACTGCATCTGAGTAAGGGTACTCAGAGGGCACCGCAGGCAGTCATCTGAAAAGCAAGGAGGCCTGCAGATATGATTTGTCTCTGTGTCCCCACCCAAGTCTTATCTCCAATTGTAGTCCCTGTATGTTGGGGGCAGGGCCTGGCGAGAGGTGATTGAATCATGAGAGTGGACTTCCCCCTTGCTGTTCTTGTGATCGTGAGCGAGCTCTCATGAGATCTGGTTGTTTGAAAGCGTGTGGCACTTCCCCCTTCACTCTCTCTCTCTCTTGCTCTGCCATGGGAAGATGTGCCTTGCTTCCCCTTTGCCTTTTGCCACAACTGTAAGTTTCATGAGGCCTCCCCAGCCATGCAGAACTATAAGTCAAACCTCTTTTCTTCATAAGTCACCCAGTCTCAGGTAGTTTTTTATAGCAGTGCGAAAATGGACTAATACACCTGCTTAGGGCTGTGTATCAGTGACATTCACAAATTCTGAAGAAACCCACACTTGATACCATCGTTAATCAAGGCAAGCCTTTACTGGTAAACAGTAATAGACAACAAAGAAGAAAGTCAACAGGCTAAGAGAAGGGCACCAACATAACTAAGCTGAAGACTTAACTCTAAGTAAAGAGCGTTAAAGCAAGAAATAGGAGACAACTTTAAGAAATTTTTAAAATTATTGTCCTCAGAGAGAGTTAAGTGGCCATTAATTAGTAAAATGAAGAAATCTGGTTTCAAAAAAGAAAGCCATTGGAGAACAAGTGCACTCTAGAAATTAAAAACATGACTTTAAAAGTAAAATTTCAGTGGGAGGCAAAATAGTAGAATGAAAATAGATTAATAAAAATTGTTGGCCTGTAAAAACAAGTAATAGAATTCTACCCAACTGGCAAAAAAAAGAGATGTAAATGATTAAAGATAAATGATATGGAAGATAGGTCTAAAAAATTCCACATATAGTAACAGGAGATGAAGAACGAAAAAAATAGAGAAAATGAATGAAAGCAATAATCAAAGAAATAATAAAGAAAATTTCCCTGATCTAAAGTTTTCTATCTTCAGATTAAAAGGGTTCAGTAAGTGAAGAGCAGTAATGTTATTTTTTTTTTTACATACAGATTTCAAAATCCAGGATTAAAATTAAAATATTTTAATTTTCCAGAGAAACACAACAATTTATGCATAAGAAATGAAAATTAGATGGGCATGGAACTTCTTACATACAACACTAGATGTTAAAAGACAATGGAGCTCTGTTTATGAAGTTATGTGGAAAAGTAGTTTAAACCTTAAATTCAATATGCAATCAAAATTATCACTAAGTATGGAGGTAAAGAATATTTTCAGATATGCAATGACTCAGATAGTATACCACCCATATATTCTGAGAGAGAAATAAAAGAGCCCCCAGAATGACTTCTGTAAAATGAAAAATAAATCATAGTGAAGAATTCAAGAAAGAGGAAGATGTGAAACTAAACCAATAAAATAGTAGTGGGCAAAGAAATCAGTAAAATCCTTGAGTCAAAATGATTGCAGATAATGTTGTGAAACTTAATGGCACTGTTAGGAAAAAGATGACTAAAATAGAAGTTAATAATATTTCTAAAACTGAAGCAATCTGGAACTAAAATTCTTAGTAATTTCAATCTCAAGTAACAAGGAAAAGGGAAGTAAAAGCTAACTAGAATATTTATTTTGCATGGATGGGATAATACAAATTCTGGTTAATTCTTCTAAGGAAAATATAGGTCAGTTTATCAGAAGTTTCAATTTTCCTTTTTTTTGTAAATAGACTTTACATTTTAGAACAGGTTTAGGTTTGTAACAAAATTGAGTTGAAAGTACAGAGAAGTCACATATTCCTCCTACCCGTTCACATTCACAACCTCCCCCACTGTCAGCATCCCCCACTAGAGTGGTACATTATACTAGAGTTCACTATTTTCTTAAGACACAGGGTCTCACTCTGTCACTCAGGCTGGAGTGCAGTGGTAAAATCATAGCTCACTGCAGCCTCAAATTCCTGGACTCAAGTGGTCCTCTCACCTCACCCTCCTGAGTAGCTGGGACTACAGGCAGTGCCACTATGTCTGGCTAATTTTTTTTTTTTTTTAATTTCATAGAGACGGGGTCTTGCCTTGTTACCTAAACTGGTCCTGTATCCCTGGCTTCAAGCAATCCTCTAGCCTCTGTCTCCCAAAGCACTAGCATTACAGGTTTGAGCCACCATGCCCAGCTGTGGTTCTATGGACTTGGACAAATGTATAATGACATGTACAGCATCAGAGGTTTTTTTTTTTGATAAATTAAATGTAATTAAAAAAATTTTTTTTTAGAGACAGGACCTTGCTCTGTCACCCAGTCTGGAGTGCAGTGACACAATCATAACTCACTGCAGCCTCAAACTCCTGGGATCAAGTGATCCTCCCACCTCAGCCTCTGGAGTAGGTAGGACTACAGATGCACCACCATACTTGGCTAATATATTTTTTTCATTTTTTTTGTATTTTCTGTAGAGATGGAGTCTCCCTGTGTTGCCCAGTCTGGTCTTGAGAGCTTCAGTTTTAAATAATAAATTGTTCTCGTCTTTCTAAATTTCAATCAAAACACAGGATGTATTTTAAAAGGGAAAAACTGTGAGGTAAAAGAATAGGGTGAGGGGAGGAAAGAAATAACTTCATAGAGAAAAATTCAATGAACCCTTGGAAGAAAATATATGGAAGTATGGTTACTGACTTGGGAAAGAAGAGAAAGGTACAATGTAACTGCACATAGAAGCCAGTCCTGAAAAGAAGCAAGCCGGCTGAAGTTATCTGCAACTCAGAAGCACTTGGTACCACCCAAGGGGAGATAAGAGGTAAGGTGGGAAAAAGGGCAGTGATTGAGACCACTACAGACACCTGGACTTGCAAAAGATAGCAATGGATACGTAATAAGCCAAGCAAATTCAAAATAATTTGGTGATGAATATGCTAATTAGCTTAATTATGGTAATCATTGCACAATTTATATGTGTATCAAAGCATCACATTAAACATCTTAAATATATATAATTTTATTTGTCAATTATACCTCAATAAAGCTGGGGGAAATTTTAAATAAAAATAAATAAATAAAAATAAGTTAACTAGTAAATTCTGAAGAAACAAAAATAATCATAGTATTGCTTTTTGGTTTAAGAGAAATAAAATTTTAGGTAAACTTTGTTGGTTTAATTTAGTAAGGTTGGTTTCAGGAAACTGTGGATGGATCAGCAATAGGAAATCTGTTAATGTATTCATGTTGTTTACTAGATTAAAAAATACAAAATGCATGGTTATTTAGGTGGATAACAAAAATGTGTTGGACAAATTTGCATTCCGGGTATTTAAAAATGTATTAGTAAACAAAAAACAATGGATACTTCCTACTTGTCAGAAACCCAAAGCAACTAAGCAGTTACCAGTACAGCACTTTTTAATGGGACATTACTATTAAAATAAGGACAGACTAAGATCCCTGACTCAGCTTTGTTTTAGAAATCATAATAAATGGAAAATATGTCTGTTTGCAGATGATATGATCATCCTTCCTAGAAAATCCAAAGCATTAATTAAGGTAGGCTAAACCACTATAACAAATGAGCACTAAGTTTCCAGTTGCTTAAAAAGAAGCTTATTTTCATTTAGATAAAGTGCTCCAGGTCTGCGTGCAGCTCTCCATGATGTAACTCAGAAACTCAGCATATTTCCACCTTGTGGCTCCACTATTCCCTGGGGACTTAATATCACATGCATAGAAGGGTGCATGTGGGGGGATTTTTTTAGAAGTGACCCCCATTGCTTGTATTCATAATCTATTATTGGACTTGGTCACATGGCCAGAGCTAACAGTCAGGGTGTTTAGTAATAAGTTTTAGCTATTTGTCCAGAAGGAAAGGGAGACTAGGTTTTGATTGACAATAGCAGTGTTCCCCACAAGAACCACTTGAAATATCCAAATGCTTATCAATATAAAAATCTAAAAAGATAAAATTTAAAAATCAGTCGTGTTTTATTACAGATTACTCAATTAAAATATACAATATTAACTTTTTAATTTTTTTAATTCAATGTAGCAAAAAACTATAACATCTTTGGAAGGTAGTTCGACAGTTTCTTTTTTTTTTTTTTTTGAGATGGAGTCTCACCCTGTCACCAGGCTGGAGTGCAGCGGCCCGATCTCAGCTCACTGCAACCTCCACCTCCTGGGTTCAAGCAATTCTCCTGCCTCAGCCTCCTGAGTAGCTGGGACTACAGGCAAGCGCCACCAAGTCCAGCTAATTTTTTTGTATTTTTAGTAGAGATAGGGTTTCACCATGTTGGCCAGGATGGTCTCGATCTCCTGACCTCATGATCTACCCGTGTTGGCCTCCCAAAGTGCTGGGATTACAGGCGTGAGCCATCACACCCGGCCAGTTTCTTACAAAACTAATCATACGCTTATCATACCATTCAGCAGTCGTATTTCTTAGTATTTACCCAAAGGAGCTGAAAACGATGTCCACACAAAAACCTGCACACGAATTTATTTTTAATTACCAAAATTTGGAAGCAACCAAGATGGCTTTCAGTAGGTAAATGGATAAACTCTGGCACATCCAGACAGTGGAATATTATTCAGTGCAAAGAAGAAATGCAAGCCAAGAAAAGACATGGAGGAAACCTAAATGTATATCACTAAGTGAAAGGAGCCAATTTGAAAAGGCTATATATGATATTATTCCAACTACATGACATTCTGGAAAATATAAAACTATGGAAAAGTTAAAAAAATCTCAGTAGTTGCCAGGGGTTTGACGGGGAGAAGAGAGGACTAGGCAGAGCACAGAGGATTTTTAGGGCACTGAAAATACTCTATATGATACTATAGTGGTGGCTACATGTCATTATACATTTGTCCAGACCCACAGAATGTACAACACCAAGAGTGAACCCTAATGTAAATCCATAGTTTTATGGGGTTTGGGTGATAATGATGTGTCAATGTAGTTCATCAATTGTAACAAATGTACCACTTTGGTGGGAGATGTTGATAATGGGGGAGGTTATGCATATGTGGAGGCAGGGGTATATGGGAAATCTCTATACCTTCCTCTCAATTTTGTTGTAAATGTAAAACTGCCCTTTTAAAATCTTTAATAAAATAACTATGATATTTTAGAAATAAACAACAAATAATATATAAAATCAATATAAAGAAAGTATGAAACTATATTAGATACAAATAGATTTGAATAATATAATTATTCTATTTCCTCTTGAAAACACTCAATTGTATAAAATAACCAATTCATTTTAAATTACTGTATAAGTTCCATGCAATCCCAATAAAAATCCCAGTGGCTTTAGTTGATGCTCTTTGAAACTTGAGTCTAAAGATCATCTGGAAATGTAATGTGCAAAAAGAATAAGAAAAATTTGGGAAACAAAATTTTTACATCTCAAGCTTTACAACAGTAATCGAAGCAGTGTGGCACAGTAACAAAAATAGACAAATTGATCATGATACAAAATAGAGTCCAGAAGCAGACATATATATTGTCAGTTAGTGATAAACCACCTCACAACATAGTAGCTTAAAATACAAGAATATTTCACTCCTGAATCTGCAATCTTAGCAGGGATGACTAGTCTCTGCTCCATATGAGCCCTGGGGGCTCTAACAGGTAGAGCTGGCCAGACATCTCTCTCTTTGTTAGTCTTCAGACCTCTCAATATGTTTTCTTATATGATCTTTTTAGCATAGCAACCTCAGAGTAGTTTGACCTCTTACATGCTGATCAGAGATCCAAGAATGTTTTAAAGGTAAACATTCTAAGAGGACTGGGATGAAGTTGCAGGCATTTTATGACCTAGCCTCAGTCATTTCTGACACTTTTCAATGGTCAAGCAGACCACTATGGCCAATCCGATTTAAGTGGAGAGGAATTAGGTCCCATCTCTCAATGCGAGGAGTAGCAAAGAGTTTGTGTTAATTTACTACATATGAGAATGCAAGGTGACAATTGGCAAAGCATTTGGCGGATGAAGGAGAGAAAAGATTGATCTCTACCTCACACCATACACAAGTAAACTATCACATGGGTTTATCTTTAAAAGTAAAAGTAAACCAAGAACATAACTTACAGAAAAGGATTTAGTATGTTTAAAGGACTAGGTAATATAAAATAGTGAAATAGCTCTGTTCTCTCATGTTACCACTCTTCAAAGTGGTTCTGCCAGATCACCATTCATTCTGTATTCTACTCCAGAAAGATCTCAGAGCTTTTCCAGTCATTTTCAGACATTAGGACATGGGAACTCCTGTGGAAAGAGTGTGTCAATTTTCAGATATTAAACACCACAATCTCATCAAAATCAAAACTTTAATCTCACATCCTAATGTACAGCTTTTCTGCTTTCCAAGCTTGGGCCTGATCAGCTGGAGAGAAGGGACAATGGTCTCTGGTTTTAATTTTCCTCTTTCTTGCCTTTCCACTCCTTCTACTGCCACACACCATGCTGCCACTGAGCTTCTCCAGGAAGAGGAAAAGGGATGAGAAGAAAGGACTGGTGCTGTCGTACCTGTTCTCATGTCCTCCATCATGGCAGTCAACTCAGTGCTGGATGTGTCAAGAGTTCAGCTGAGTTAGAAGAGAGAGCAGAACTGTCAGGTGTTGGAGTAGCTAATTAAAGTAACATGCAAAAAACAAGAGTTGAGCCTGTAATCACTCACTGTGATGGTATAAGCAAGAGATGAAAAGCAGAGAAAATGTTGACTCACCCTGTTCCATTTTCCCCCATTGAATTGTACCCTGGTGGAGGATCAGGTGAATCAGCATAGATGTGGGGGTTGTTTCACTGCTCAGGAAGCCCCAAACAAAAGATTTCAGCAGATTTATGGATCCTGAGGCCAGAGGGAAGGCAAAGGCTAAGGGAAGAGTACTAGTTATTGAGTCAGAGTGGGGAAAAATGTCTTCAATGTTTCCCCTCTTTCCCCCTTAAGGAGATCTCATCAGAGGTGCCTGAAAAGCACCTCAGCCGAAGGCCTCACATAGAGAGACCTAAGAATGAAGGCACCTGGACTAGGAATGTGAATATGTGAAAGAACATGACCGGCCAGGGGCCCTGAGTTATTGAATGCAACCCCCTTCAGACACTGCAACACACAGGCTGTGCACCAAGCCTAGTATGGGAAGGACAGCTTTTCTTCATGAGGCCTGCCAGGTAAAGCCAGCTATGAAACAGGAAGTTGACCTTCACCAGACACTGAACCTACTGGCACCTTGATCTTGGACTTCCCAGCCTTACAAACTGTAAGAAATAAATGTCTGTTGTTCATAAGCCACATAGTTTGTGATAGTTTGTTATGGCCACCTGAACAGACTTAGGCAGGGTGCCTCATTATAACCTGGCAAGGGTGTAAATTTAGGTGGTTCCCTTCTTGGACTTTTCTGGTGGAAGTGGAGGTAGGGCCACAGCTTTTGGGTGTGTGTGTGTGTGTGTGTGTGTGTGTGTGTGTGTGTGGAAGCAGAAAATGTGGTGTTTGGTGGAAGCAGAAAATGTATTGTCTAGATGTTTTCTCTCTTATTATAATAGATTACCCCTTTCATGGTCTTTTGGCTAGACAGAGTAACCTTTTTGGGGGTCTTTTTCATCAGTGCCCATTGGTGCTTTCAAGTCAATGGCTTCTTTAGCTCCAAAAAGGTACACAAAGACAACTCTGGGACCTCACCACCATATCATTCCTTAAATTCATAGTCTGCCTTCTTCTCTCCATCTTTCAAGATATTTTTATGTTTATATGTTATCTAGAGTTCTAAATTTTACTTAGCAGGAGGAATAGGGAAAAATACAACTACTCTATCATCCTGGCAACAGTTTAATATTTAAAATATGTATTTTTTAAAATCAGATAAAATACATGTTTTTTTGAAAGATTTAGTTCAATCACAAGTTACTTCAGGAAGTTTTTCCTAATCTCTCAGTCTTAGGTTAGGGCCCTGATAAGGTTTGACTCTGTGTCCCCACCCCAATCTCACTGTACTCCCATAATTTCCACATGTCCCCATCCCAATCTCATCTTTAATTATATTCCCATAATTTCCACATGTTGTGGGAGGGACCCAGTGGGAAACAATTTGAATCATGGGGGTGGTTCCCCCATACTGTTCTCAGGGTAGTGAGTAAGTCTCACAAGATCTGATGCTTTTATCAGGGGTTTCTGCTTTTGCATCTTTCTCATTTTCTCTTGCCGCTGCCATGTAAGAAGTGCCTTTCACCTCCCACCATGATTCTGAGGCCTCCCCAGCCTTGTGGAAATGTAAGTCCAATTGAACCTCTTTTTCTTCCCAGTCTTGGGTATGTCTTTATCAGCAGCATGAAAATGGACTAATACAGTAAAATGGTACCAGTGGAGTGGGGTATTGCTGAAAAGATACCCAAAAATGTGGAAGAGACTTTGAAACTGGATGACAGGCAGAGGTTGGAACAGTTTTGAGGGCTTAGAAGAAGAAAGGAAAACGTGGGGAAGTTTGGAACTTCCTAGAGATTTGTTGAATGGCTTTGACCAAAAACCTGAAAGTGATATGGACAATAAGGTCCAGGCTGAGGTGGTCTCAAATGGAAATGAGGAACTTTTTGGGGACTGGATGCAAAGGTGATTCTTGTCACGATTTAGCAAAGAGACTGGCAGCACTTTGCCCCTGCCCTAGAGATCTGTGGAACTTTGAACTTGAGAGAGATGATTTAGGGTATCTGGCAGAAGAAATTTCTAAGCAGCAAAGCATTTCAGATGTGACTTGGGTGCTGTTAAAGGCATTCGGTTTTATAAGGGAAGCAGAGCATGAAAGTTTGGAAAAATTGCAGCCTGACAATGTGATAGAAAAGAAAACTTCATTTCTGAGGAGAAATTCAAGCTGGCTTCATAAATTTGCATAAGCAATGAGGAGCCAAATGTTCATCCCCAAGACAATGGGGAAAATGTCTCCAGGGCATGTCAGAGGTCTTCATAACAGCCCCTGCCATCACAGGCCTGGAGGCCTGAGAGAAAATGGTTTCATGGGCCAGGCCCAGGGTCTCCATGCTGTGTGCAGCCTAGGGACTTGTTGCCCTGCATCCCAGCTGCTCCAGCCATGGCTGAAAGGGGCCAACATAGAGCTCGGACTGTGGCTTCAGAGGGTGGAAGCCCCAAGCCTTGACAGCTTCCACGTGGTGTTGAGCCTACAGGTGCACAGAAGTCAAGAACTGGGGTTTGGGAACCTCCGCCTAGATTTTAGAAGATGTATAGAAACACCTGGATGCCCAGGCAGAAGTTTGCTGCAGGGGTGGGGAGTTCATGGAGAACCTCTACTAGGGCAGCATGGAAGGGAAATGTGGGGTCAGATCCCCCACACAGAGTCCCTCCTGGGGCACTGCCTAGTGGAGCTGTGAGAAGAGGGCCACTGTCCTCCAGACCCCAGAATGGTAGATCCACCGACAGCTTGCACCATTTGCCTGGAAAAACGGCAGACACTCAATTCCAGCCCAGGAAAGCAGCCAGGAGGGAGGCTATACCCTGCAAAACCACAGGGGTGGAGCTGCCCAAGACCATGGGAGCCCACCTCTTGCATCAGCATGACCTGGATGTGAGACCTGGAGTCAAAGGAGATCATTTTGGAGTTTTAAAATTTGACTGCCCCACTGGATTTGGGACTTGCATGGGCCCTGTAACCCCTTTGTTTAGGCCAATTTCTCCCATTTGGAATGGCTGTATTTACCCAATACCTGTACTGCCATTGTATCTGGGAAGTAACTAGCTTGCTTTTGACTTTACAAGCTCATAGGTGGAAGAGACATGCTTTATCTCAGATGAGACTTTGGACTGTGGGCTTTTGGGTTAATGCTGGAATGAGTTAATACTTTGGGGGACTGTTGGAAGGGCATGATTGTGTTTTGAAATGTGAGGACATGAGATTTGGGTGGGGCCAGGGGCAGAATGATATGGTTTGGCTCTGTCTCCCCACCCAAATCTCACCTTGAATTTTAATAATCCCCATGGTCAAGGGCAGTAGCAGGTGGAAATAATTGAATCATGGGAACAGTTTCCTCCATACTATTGGCATGATAGTGAGTGAGTTCTCACCAGATCTGATGGTTTTGCAAGGGGTTTCCCTCTTTGCTTGGTTTTCATTTTTCTCCTGCCTACTGCCATGTAAGACGTGCCTTTGCTCTTCCTCACCTTCCACCATGATTGTAAGGCCTCCCCAGACATGTGGAACTGTAAGTATATTAAGCGTCTTTTTCTTTATAAATTACCCAATCTTGGGTATGTCTTTATTAGCAGCATGAAAACAGACTAATACCCATGGTGTCTTGCATATAATAGGTACTCAATATACATGTGTTGTTGAAGAAAGAGAAATTTTAGATTTGGAGTGTTTTAAGAGGACACAATATGAAACCGCAAATTAAGAAAATTGGTTTGTCCTAGCTCAGCTGCTTATTATAACATAGTAGTAAATAGATGAAGTCACTTAGCCCCCTGTTTTCACTTTCTTCATCAGTAACCTGAGAATAAAACATGATCATATAGACAACGTAAAATATATTTGAGATTGGTGGTGATTATGACCATGTGGTGTTTAACAGAATTGGTTTTGTCTGTGTCTTTGTTAAAGATGGCTCAAGTGACCAGTTTCATAGGAAACAGACTGTGCAAGTGACCTCAAGAGTGCAGATGTAAGTTACTAGCTCCACATTAATTCAGCCGATCTCAAGGCTCATTATATGGCAGTTGCCCCTGAGACAAGAGTCTGCCTTAGGTGACTGTCACAGTTGGTGCTGATGTTCCATTCAATCATTCTCAGCAAATGCATCTACCTGTGCCAACTCGCTTTTTTGCTCACAGATTAATTTCTCCATGAAATGTCTCAAACACAAATATTGAAAGAGTGTAGCACAGGGTCTGTTTCCAGGGTGAGTTTTGAAAGAAAAAAAAATAGTCAAGATAATTGTAATTGCACAAAGGGCTTCCTCCAAAAGGACATGGAGTCTAGCATTAACAATCAAGGGCAGATAGTGTCTGAAAAGCAGCAATGGTAGAAGGTAGTGGGCAGAGGACAGGGTAGCAAGCAGCTCAAGGTAACACCTTGTGCGCCTGCAAAGGATCTCCAGTGCACTTGATGCAAAATAGTGAGCCCTGCTGGACTCTAAAAACTACTTCCTTGAGACCACGGAAAGGACCAAAAATGACCTCATTGAAACAAACAAAAAAGTAAAACAAGAAAGTCAGAAAAAATCATCTAAAATGAAGACCCAACTTTGAGTCTATACTCAATGGAACCTAAAGGTGGAGCTTGGGATTCTAGAGAAATGCTGTTATAACTCAATAGAAAATAATTTTAGCAGTTTCTGTAGGAGGCAAGGAGGAAAGAGAAGCAGATGAATCAGACTAGCTTGGGTGTATAAAAAGGCCAGTGGGAGTAGTGATGATCTGGGAGAAAGTGCAGAGTAAAAAGAGGCATATGGGAAGTTATTTGGCTCTCTGTGTTTAACATAATTTTAACTCTTGACCCCCAGTGCCGGTTGGGTGTCATTTAGGGCTGCTATTAAGTATACAGTCTACACACACACACATATGCATACACTTTCACAAATACAGGCACACATACACATGTGCACATGTTCACACAAACATGTGTGCATGAATACACCACACACACACACACACACACACACACACACACACACACTGTGTTTGACTGCTGATAGTTCATTATCCTGAGAAGCATAATCCACAAAATCAGTAGTTTATTTTACTTATCTTGAGACAGGGTCTCTGTGTCTTTCAGGCTGAAATGCAGTGGCACAAACATGGCTCACTGCAACCTCAACCTCTGGGCTCAAGCAATTCTCCCACTTCAGGCTCCAGAATAGCTGGGACCACAGGCATGCACTACCATCCTTGGCTAATTTTTTTAAATTTTGTAGAAGCAGGGTCTCACTATGTTGCCTCGAACTCCTGGGCTCAAGTGATCCACCTGCCTTGGTTTCCCAAAGTACTGGGATTACAGGTGTGCGCCACCATGCCCAGCCAAAATTAGTATTTTAAAGTGGATTATGTTGTTAATTCAACTCTCTCAGAACTGAGAAACTTGAAGAGAAAAAGTATAGGACAACTGGCACGCACTTATAAACAGGAGGCTTTCATACCATTAAATAGGATGCAGTGGGGTTTTTTGGCAGCAAACTTGCTGTTGCACAATGGTTATGGTAAGAAATCGCAGCTGATAATACACTCTTCCTTTACCACCATATAAAACCTCATAAGATTCATTCTGTTGCCTTCTAGGCTGTGGCTTATCACGGGTAGAAAAAATATTCATAAGTCTGAGGAAATGTTTAATTTCCTGTTCTCCAGCCTCCATGGTAAGGAGTCTTTTACATTTATAGGCTCCCTTCTTTCCAGCATCTGTGACATAACTTTCAGGAGACTAAAAGCAAAATCCACCATATTGATTGTCTCCTAGCCCTGTGGGCGATTCCCAGTAACTGGATCAGACAGACTCATCCCAAACCTTGTACCTCAATTCTGATCGTTCTATCCCTGTCTAACAAATTTTGTGTCAGTTCTGGTCACCATCCAGAACTCAAGAAGATTAAGCCATGATCCTAGGCATTACCCTAGACTTCTTCATCGCCCAACAGAATCATCACCAGATTCTATTCAGTTTAATTCCTAAACCTCACTTGAATCCAATTCTCATTAACCACAGTTTGAGCCATTATCAGTTCACAGCTGTCTTATTATCACAGCCTCTAAATTCCTCTGCCAGCCTCCAGGTTTGCTGCTCTCAAATTATTCTCTGCAGCCAGAGTAATCATCATTCTAAATGATCCACCCTCTTCTTAAAGTCCTTTAGTAACTTCCTCCTGCTCCCCAAATAAACTTCAAACTCCTTAGCAAGAATAAAGGGCTCGACCTGACGTGACCCTGATAACCACACTGACTTGGTACTGCTCACCCTTCCACTCACACCTACCTGCAATCTGCACTCCAGAAATGTTGAACTACTTGCAGTTCCCCCAAACAAGCCTTTCTCTTTCTCACTTCTTGGCCTATGTTCATGCCGAGAACATAACCTGTTGCCCACTCATCCTTTGGGTCCCTGTTTACATGGCACCTCCTCAAGGAACCCTTTGATTGCCCAAAATGAGTTATATGCCTTTCGAAATGACCTCATAGAAACCTGTACTTTACCCTGTGATGGAAATCTTGCTGAGGTATAATTGCCCACTTACTTACCTTTGTCTGCCCTTGGACAGTAAGCACCAGAAGGTCAAGGTGTAAGTAGATCTCATCACCTCTGCATCCTCACATCCAATACATATCCTGGCATATCAAAGCTCCACCATAAATATTGGCTGAATTAGCATATAAACACCCAGGCTTTAGAAATGAAGTCATGCCTCCATCTTTCTGCTTTCCCTTGCACCCTTCAGGGAGAGTAATCCTGCCTAATCTCCAGTCCTGTGGATGGACTCTGTTTAAAATCCTTCCATGTCTTCTCCCTAATCATAGAATAAAGTCCAAATCCCTTAATATGACCTAAAAACTCAATTCCGCTGGGTCCCTGTTCCATTACCACTTGTGGTAACCAGCCTCCAAGATGGCCCCCAATGACCCCAGCCTCCTGGTCTTCACATCTTTGTCCCTCCCGCATTGTATCAATATTAGTCTGTGTGACCAACAGCACATAGTAGAAGTGACAACATACAACTCCTGCACTCAGGTCATAAAAGCCATCAAGTCTTCTGCCTCTCTCTCTTGAGGATTGCTTACTCTACAGGAAGTTAGCTGCCATGTCATGAGCAACCCTATGGAGAGACCCATGTGGTGAGGAAGCAAAGTCTCTACAGCAGTGAAGAACTGAAGCCTCCGGCCAACAGTCATACACCGGCACCTTTGTGGAAGCAGATCCTCCAACCCCAGTCAATCCTTCAAATTACTACAGCCCCAACCAATATTTTGGTTGCAACCCCATGAGAGACCTTGAGCCAAAAATCACCAGCTAAGCCACTCCAGAATAGCTGACTCCAGAAATGATGAGATAATAAATGATTACTGTCTTAAGCCACTGAGCTCTAGAGTAATTTATTATCCAGCAATAAATAGCATTCTAGCCCTGCCATAGCCCACTGCCCCTTGTGAGGCTTTTCTCAATTCCAGAACTATGCCAGGCCCCCTCTGGCCTGGGGCCCTTCTCACATGCTGTTTCTTTGCCTTTCTTCACCAGGACAATTGCTTTTTTTTTTTTTTAGATGGAATTTTGCTTTCGTCGCCCAGGCTGGAGTGCAATGGTATGATCTCGGCTCACCGCAACCTCTGATTCCCAGGTTCAAGCGATTCTCCTGCCTCAGCTTCCCGAGTAGCTGGGATTACAGGCATGCACCACCACGCCTGGCTAATTTTGTATTTTTAGTAGAGACAGGTTTTCTCCATGTTGGTTAGGCTGGTCTCAAACTCCCGACCTCAGGTGATCTGCCTGCCTTGGCCTCCCAAAGTGCTGGGATTACAGGCATGAGCCACCGCTCCCAGCAGACAATTGCTTTTATGTATCAGCATAAACAGCATTTCCTCAGTAGATTTCCCCATCTGCCCCACCAGATCAGGTCATCTTTCACCTACTTTAAGGACAGCAGGCATTTTTTCCTTCCTGGCATTTTTTACATCTATTATATCATTCAGTAACTAGCTGTGGAATGCCAAATGTGTGGCAAATGCTATGCTACGTAAAGGGGCAAAACAGGCATTATTCTGCCCTCATAAAGTTCAGAATCTAGAGTAGTTCTTCACTTAGTTATTAATACTTAATCATATACTTAATTACATGCAGTTGGTCATTTATAATTATTTGTTAATTTCTGTCTTTTCCACTGACATAAAATCCAGTGGGGTCAATGCCTCGATGTTCCCATGAGTGTCCCAGTGGGTAGCCAGGCATTAATTCATTCAGAGACAGGCTACAGCAGAGGCCATGTCCATAATTCTCAGAGGACTGCTCAGCAAACCAAGGGTAGCACTGTTAGGAAACCACATCATCACAAAACTCATTCTGTCTTACTTCCCTAATGGACTATTTTGCCACACATTTTGTATGCTTTGTGGATCTTTTTCTTTTCTCTCTCTGAGGACACTCAGTGGTATGTTTAAAGAGCTGTAATAGTGGAAGTAGACTGTGTTGGCTGATCTTTGTCATGAAATTTGGTCTCTTTTTTTTTTTTTTTTTTTGAGACGGAGTCTCGCCTTGTCGCCCAGGCTGGAGTGCAGTGGCGCCATGTTGGCTCACTGCAAGCTCCACCTCCCGGGTTCACGCCATTCTCCTGCCTCAGCCTCCCGAGTAGCTGGGACTACAGGCGCCAGCCACCTCGCCCGGCTAATTTTTTTGTATTTTCAGTAGAGACAGGGTTTCACCGTGTTAGCCAGGATGGTCTCGATTTCCTGACCTCGTGATCCACCCGCCTCGGCCTCCGAAATTTGGTCTCTTACCCTTCTGCACTCTCTCTTTCCTTAGGTGGAAAATGAGTCAGATAAGATGATTATGAAAGCCCTTCCAGAGCACTGAGCTTCTATTTAAAATTCTTCAAAATTAAAGCGTTAGAACCAGCCTTTCTCATTACATTTGTATAGAACATTTAATTTTGTCTAAGTGCTATTCTGTTATTTTACTTGATTCTCAAAATAAACTAATGCTGATATAATTTATCTCATGTTACAGTTAAAGAAATGGACACCTAGAAACATATGAGAATTTGAGATCTAAGATATTTCCTCCTTAATCACAAAATAGCCTTTCTCTGAATACCATATTCATGCTTCAAAAAGGCACTATATTTCTCCCTCCATTTTTTTTTTGTCTGTTTTTCTTTGTTGGTTTGGTTTGGTTTGTTTGGGTTTTTTTGTTTTGTTTTGTTTTGTTTTTTGTTTTTAGAGAGAGAGTCTCGCTCTGTCACCCAGGCTGGAGTGCAGTGGTGAAATCTTGGCTCACTGCAACCTCTGCCTCTTGGGTCCAAGCACTTCTCCTGAGTAGCTGGGATTACAGGTGTGCCCCACCATGCCCAGCAAATTTTTGTATTTTTAGTAGAGACAGGGTTTCACCATGTTAGCCAGGCTGGTCTCAAACTCCTGACCTCAAGTGATCCACCCTCCTCAGCCTTCCAAAGTGCTGGGATTACAGGCATGAGCCACCACACCTGGTCCCCCTCCATGTCTTAGTCCATTTTCTGTTGATATAACAAAATACCCAAGACAAAGTAGTTTATTAATATAAAGAATGAGAATTTATTTCTCACAGTTCTGAAGTCTGAAAGTTCAAGATCAAGGCACCATCATATTCAGTGTCTGGTGGAAGTTGCGTTCTGTTTCTGAGATGGTGCCTTGTTGCTGCATATTCCAGAGAAGACAAACACTGTGTGGCAGAAAAGATGGAAGGGCAAAAAGGGCCTGTCTAGCTCCCTCCAGCTCTTTTATAAAGTCACTAATCACATTCAGGAGAGCTCCACCCTCATGACATAATCACCTCCTAAAGACCCCACCTCTTAATATCACATTGCCAATTAAGTTTCAACATATTAATTTTAAGGGACACATTCAGGCCACAGCAACAGGTAAGAGATTGAGCACCAGAGTCCTAAAATAAATCCCTGTCCTCAAAGTCTCAGACTGCTTGTGAGCAGCTATATAATAAGAATTTGTATACCTGGGACATTGAGTGAGCACAGAGGAGAAAATGCATAAGCTTCATCGTGCTGCATTATGGATTAACTTATAAAAAATAGGATTCCTTTAAAATATCGAAACGATGAATTTTAACTTACTCCCAGAGGCTGTTGCTCCTTAGCCTCTTTCCCTGGCTCCACCTCCCCAACCACCCCCAGAGCTCTGTCCTTAGACCTTCTCTATTCATTCCAACTCATCTTCCCAGTTACAGCCATCATTCAATGACAATCCACATGCTACCAACTCCCAAATATTTATATGAAGTTCCAACTTCTTTAAGCCATAAAACTGTGTTACCAATTGCCTACCAGACAGCTCCACCAGGATACCCAATGGACACACCATGCCTAAATACAACCAAAAGGGGCCCCTGGACTCCATGCTTTAAAGTGACCCCATGTGGCTCTCCTCTGGGTGTGACCCTCCCTACATAATGAGGATCTTATGGGACAAAAGAACCTGCCCACCCAGAGCCCATGCCCCCACTTCCAAACCATGTTCCAGGTACCCAGGATCCACATCCAGAGCCTACACAGTCCTTCTTCCTTGGTTGATTCTCCTAAGGGCAAGCTGCACCACCTTGTACACATCCCAAGGTGTGAGAGTGGGTCTTTGTTGGGAGTATGGATAGAGCTTGCAGACTGGAGTATGGATACATAGTGCATGATAGAGACAGAGATGAAAAGGAAAGGAGGATGGGTCATGGGTCTGAGCATTTTCACATAGCTGCATTCTTGCATGAAGCTCAGAGGAGCCCAAGAATTCTACATCCAAACATATGCAAGTACATGGGAGAATATAACATTTTATTCAGCTACGTATTGGCTTGATTTATAACTTTTTAATATTTAGACATGTAGGATGCCAGCCTCTGTATGTACCATTTAACCAAGGCCTAAATATAGTGCCATTTAGGCTTATATATGCCTAAACTATAAGCAGAGATCCTGGACACTGCAGTTTTAACATATCCAAAACCAAACCAATCTTTTCCTCCCCACCTGTCTTAGCTTAGGGTGCTTGAAAAGTAGAGCCTAAAATAAGAACTTACACAAAAGTAGTTAACTTGAGAGGTGATTCTAGGGAGCAGAACTGCATGAGTGAAGAGGCTGAGACAGGGAAGAAGAAAAGCCAACATAAGAGTGTATTATGGAGGCTCCACTGTGGGCAAGAGAGCTTGATTCTGCCAGAGTTTCTGCAAAGGTACAGAATGCCTTAAGATTGACCACCCAAAGGATGGAAGTGGCAGCATTTACCCTTTAGTTCCTTCTACTACTGATTGATGACTGTACTGGGAATGTTAACCCCCTCAAAGTTTATTTGCTTGTATTCAGAAAGCCCCAAGGCATGAAATGAAGACCAGGGCACTCACAGGAGGCAAGATGCTCTCGCACAAAGTGTATTGAAGCTGCCCTAGAATGGTTTGCCCTAGAATGGTTTGCCCCAGCCATGGTCAAAAACAGAGAGGATGCCAAAAGGATATGAATCAGACACCAGATATGTTTGATGTACCACCCTATTTCCCTTCCTCCCTCCCAGCTAAACTTCTATCTTCTCCTGTATTCAATTTTTATTAATAATGCCACTAGCCAAATGGGTCTCCCAAGGTGAGAATACTGGAGTCAGCCTCACGTCCCCTCCATCACCCAGTCACAAAATCTTGACAATTCTACCTTGGAAATGTTTCTCAGCTGGAGCTCTTCCACTGCATTCCCCTCCAAGTGACTTAGTTTAAGTTCCAGCTCAATTGCAAGAGCTTCATACCCAGGTCTGCTAGTGGAGGATTTCTTGGAGCTGTCTCCTGCAGGCAGCCTTAACTGACTTTTAATAGAGCCTCCCTCTGCTCCATCTTTTCCAATGCTAGTCTCATCTATACACTGCTACATGTACTATCTCTTATCATGTAAATATTCTGTTTTAGGACTTCCACTACTCCCTATTGGTACAAAATCAAGTCAGAATTCCACACCCAGCCTACAACATCCTTCTCTCTCTTTCCAAACTTCTCCCACTCCAAGCTCATCACCCAGAGTCTTTCTCTCTGTTTTTGTCTCTCTCTCTCTCACACACACACACACACACACACACACACACTCTACACACTACACTTCAGTCACACCCAACTTCTCACTATTCTCAAACCAGCCATTTCCTTTCATGCCTCCATACTGTCGTTCATGTTGTTTCTCAGGCTAGAAATTATTTCTGCCGCCACCACTCCCTCATACATACCTAAACAATCTGATAAATCCTCATGGATCCGTCAAGACCCAACTAAAACACCACCTTTTCTTACTCCTGCAGGCTGATTCAGTGTTCCTATCCCTGCTAGAGGACTTATATCATGGTATAATTATGTGCTTGCATGACTCTCTCCATCTTTAGAAGCTCCTCCAGGTCAGGGACTAGTGTTTTATTCATCTTTGTATTCTCGGTACCCAGCACAGTGGTTGGCACAAAACGAGGTGACATGATTGTTAGAGGAATGCAAGAATGAGCACTTCTGAGTAAAACTAAGAACAACTGGGGTATGTACCTCCTAACATACCTCTCATTTAAAAGGCATTTGAACAGAGACACTTAAAAAAGGGGGAATTCAAAAGGTAAATAGTGCTGAACAGAGTCAAAGTCTGAGAAGTAAATTAGACTGAAAATCAGCTCAGTCATTGATGTTACTTGTGGAAATACCAGCGAGGTGTTAATGTGGTGTTTAACACATCAACAACAAGTAACAGCACAGACTGAACTGCAATAGGTGGGGCTAATGCTATGAAAATGACTTAGTGCAGCCTATATTTAAGAGGAAGAAATAAACAGCAAAATGCTTAGAATCAGCTCTATGTTGGTTTAATCCTAATGACAATGTATGCATTACACTTACTTATTTAAAGCCTTGCCCTATAGAATATTGTACAATTGATAGCTGTAATGTAAAATTAGCTCATTTCTGTTTGGGTCCAAATTAACAAGCACATATTGCCTCTATGAAAGGGCTCTGTGAAGCATTTGGAATTATGATTGTAGAACCAAGGGTAAGTAGAGTGATATTCCCAAGTTAAGGGGGCCAAGGACCTGTACAATAGGAAGAGCAACCAAGATAGTACTTGCCATCCAGAAAATTCCTACTAATAGCCAAGAGGAGTAAGTGCAGACCAATAAGTAGAGAATCAGGGGCTTCTGTTGCAGAACTAGAGATGTGGGCAATGGAATGGAGAAGTAGGGCCACATCACCACACAATGTCCCACATCATAGAGAGGTGAAAATATTTTACTGACAACTGTAAATAAAAGTAATTGTTGGCCAGGCACGGTGGCTCACGCCTGTAATTCCAGCAAGTTGGGAGGCCAAGGCAGGCAGATCACAAGGTTAGAAGTTCGAGACCAGCCTGGTAAATATGGTGAAACCCCATCTCTACTAAAAATACAAAAATTAGCCTGGCATGGTGGCACATGCCTGCAGTCCCAGCTACTCTGGAGGCTGAGGCAGAATAATCGCTTGAACCCGGGAGGCAGAGGTTGCAGTGAGCCAAGATCACGCCATCACACTCCACCCTGGGCAACAGAGTGAGACTCCGTCTCAAAAAAAAAAAATAAAAAAAAAATACTAACAATAATTGTTAAAGTAAATGAAATCAACTATGTAAATATAAACATTCCTCACCATCCTATTTGCTCCATCAGAGTGTAATTATACATTTTCTTTTATAGATATAGAAAAAAAGTGATGAGACCCTGTTCATAGAAATGTCTGTTCCTACCGTGTCCAAGTAATCTTTGTTTCCTAGCAAAACTCTTCTATGAAGTACATCACATAAAATATTACTCCATCCATTTCATCTCTGTTTCCTATGATGGGACGATGGCACTGCTATAAATAAATATAAGGGGAACCACAGTTGATTCTATCCTCAGCAGAACAAAATTTTGCTTTGTTATGTATCTACTGGTATGAGATATGGAAGATGAAAATTTCTTTTTTTTTTTTTTTTGAGACGGAGTCTCGCTTTGTCGCCCAGGCTGGAGTGCAGTGGCTGCGATCTCGGCTCACTGCAACCTCTGCCTCCCGGGTTCATACCATTCTCCTGCCTCAGCCTCCCGAGTAGCTGGGACTACAGGCACCCACCACCACGCCCGGCTAATTTTTTATATTTGTAGTAGAGATGGGGTTACACCATGTTAACCAGGAATGGTCTCGATCTCCTGACCTCATGATCTGCCCACCTCGGCCTCCCAAAGTGCTGGGATTACAGGCATAAGCCACAACACCCGGCCTCGGAAGATGAAAATTTCAGTGATGCTTGAAACTTTTACTCTACTGGGTTTCAGACATTCATTTCCCATCAATTTTAAATTGCTTCATTCTCCCAACTAGGAAACTTCCAAGTCATCTGAGGTGAGTCTGGTAATAGTTACTCACTGTATGTTATAAGCAGCACGACTTTTCATATTAGTTACTGCACACTGAGTCATCTCTACAGTGCTTGAAATTAAAGTCAGATCACCAAGGAAGTGGAGGACATTCCACATGTATCCCTCTGCTACAGGATAAGATCCACCTTACTCTCCTCACTTAAGTCAGTCAGGAATTAAATGTAACAAGACAAAATGATATGACAAGGACAGTCAAGAGATTCACATCATCAGCTGTTTCCATCTGTCTAGAGGCAGGTGGAAAAAATGCAGGTTTTAATAGAATAGATTTAATTTAATAGATTTAAATAAGCTATAAGTTAAAATTCTGAGTGTAGGGCTGTTAAATATAGATATGGATGACTAAGAAAAATGGAATCATCCTAAGTAAATTCCAAAAATAGAAGTGGTGTTCACCAGGCTGGGCTTGTTTTGCTATTATTTGGCTAAAGAAGTGTAAGAGAAAACGAATGTTAAGTTCAAGATTATAGCTTCACAGTGAGCTAAGTAAATTATAACTACAGTATAACATAAGCTATATTAGGGCATGGCCTCAATTTCATGCATATCCTCTCAGTCCCATAGTCCCTAATAAATAGTAGCTCTCATTACATAAGTTATCGTTCCTCTTGTGTTCTGATCTTTTAGTGACTCTTTTTGGAACAGGATTTGTAGAGACTCCTATATGAGTCAAGCAGACAGAGTGGAACTCTGTTTCTTACTTCTGCCATCCCTATTTTCTCATTCTAGAGTATACCCCACAGGTATAGATTACTCTATAGCAACCAAGCACATACTTGAACTTCCATGGCAGTTTATCTTTTGTGATAATCATACTGATAAGTAAACAGAATATTTGCCTTGACAAGTAAACTCAGTGGCATCCAGCCCAGATTATATAATGGAACCAAATTCTCGACTGTTCTTAATGTTGCATAACAAATTGCCACAAACTTAGCTACACAAACACCACATATTATTATCTCAGTCTTCGTGGGTCAGAAGTCTGGGCACGAATTAGCTGGTCCTCTGCTCAGTTTCAAAGGCTGCAATCAAGGCATTAGCTGGGCCACATTCTCATCAAAGGTTCAACTAGGGAAAAATCCACTTCCAAGTTCATCCCAGTTGTTGACAGAATTCATCTCTTTGCAGCTACATAACTGGAGCCTCAGCTCTTCACTGACTGTCCTCAGGTTCCAGGGGCCACCTGCAGTTCCTTGCCACATGGATTTCTCCAGCATAGCTGTGTACTTCATCAAGGCACAAGGAGAGTCTCCAGTCTACCAGAGCCCTATGTAATGTAACATAATCAACAAAGTGACGTCCCATTCATATTCAATTGGTCAGAAGCAAGTTACAGTCCCCACCCAGGTCAGAGGGAGGAGATATGACAAAGAAGTAAACATCAGGAGGCTGGGACAATGGGGATACTTAAGGTCCATCCTGCTACAACTTCCACAATGGCGTCTTGACCATGAGGGCTCCACAGACACTGAAGCGGTCACCCAGGCTGCAAGTCTTGGAGGCATTCTCTAGGAATCACAGTCCCATTCTTCTGCAGGCAAACGGAGTCGCCATATGACCCAGTAAGTTTACTCTTAGGTACATTCCCTAGAGAAATAAAAATATATGTCCGTGCAAAAACATGTATGTGAGTGTTCGTAGCAGTGTTATTCATAATAGCCAAAAGGTGGAAACAAGCCAAATGTTTGTCAACTGATGAATGGAGAAATAAAATGTGGTATAACCATACAATGGAACATTAAACAGGAATAAAAAGAAATGGAATGCTGAGACATGCAACAACATGGATGAACCTCAAGTACATTATGCTAAAAGAAAGAAGCCGGTCACAAAGGACCACAGCTTGCATGATTCCATTTATACAAAATGTCCAGAATAGGCAGATCTACAGACTGGAAGTAGAACAGGGATTGCCAAGGGCTGTGGGAAGGGAAAAGTGGGGAACAATGCTAATGGGTAAGAGCTTTCTTTATGGGATAATAAAATGTTCCAAATTTAGATTGTGGTGATAGTTGCACAATTCTGTGAAAATACTAACAATTTTTAATGGGCGACTATTATGGCATGTGAATTATATCTCAGTAAATCTTTTTTTATTAAAAAACAAAAAAGACCCACAAGTTTTGTCATGAAAAATTAAATCTAAAACATATTGCTTAGATACTAAAATATTGAAATATTCACATTTCTCTGGCATTTAAATGATGTGTAAGAACTATAAATATCCAAAATTAGGATCATCTCAGAAAATCTATGCTGCAGTAAGATCTCTTCATAGTACACACACGGAGAGGCAAAAACCAGGTACTGTACATAGATGACAAGTGGTTTTCCCAAGGGCCCAGCAAAAATAATTTAGTTTTGCCATAACATGTGCCAGAATCCATTTCCACATTTTTTGATGAAGATCTCTTCCTTTTCCCTCATTAATTCAAATATTAAATAGGTACTGGTATGGTTTGATAAAACAATAATTTCCAAAATTACTCTGTGTTTTAGAATATGAAAGTTTAACAGACAGCACTAAGGCTATCCTCTCCTGTGTAGTTTAACAGGCAACAGCTCCAGATACCTTTAAGCAAAAGCATACCGGCTTTTTAAGGTGAGGTTCAGCAGGGATCTAGAGAGCTAATAGAGCCAGAAATCTTAGCCAGACAAAGACACCTGCTAATACCAGTTTACAGGTAAGTTTAAACTGATACTAATATAGAGATGTATTTTACACATTGATTGACATGCCCATTTATAAGTTCCCTTTCCATCCAACCTACCTGGCACTTCCATATACCCTACTGCCCAGACCCACATGGAAAGGTTTTATCCTGAGAAACAGTAACTAACCAGAGGCTTTACATATCTGAGTCATTTAACTGCTGCAGACGTGCTACAGTTTTACAAGGCAGTGGTATTTCCTGTAACTTCTTTAGTGTTCTAGTTGATGCCTGCTCTGTTCCCATCCCTTATCACTTAATGGAAGAAGGAAAAAAATAAAAGTGCATTATATCCCTCGAAGCAATCTAGGGATTTCAAATACAACAATACACCTTTTCATTCAGTGCTGTTACCTAATATCTGGGTGACTTCCTAAGGTTTCACCAGAGAAAAAGATAGGCCTTTTTCTTAGCTGCAGAATATCCTTTTAAAAAAAAAAAATCACCATTTTAGGCACATTCATTCCCAGAGGTCCAGGGAGCCGGTTAAGCTAAAGTGAAGGTCCCACTGCTTCATGGCTCCCAGCAGTCATCTAAACTAGGAACTTCATCCATTTTCATAGCCCTTTGGTGAAAAGTAAAAGGGTAAGCCATTCTGTCCCCTTGAGCAAGGACTGCACCTTAGCCAGCTCTGACGTGTTTTGACCAAATTTCTAAGAAATCTATGGTAAAGAGGGCTTCTCCAACCACATCCCCAGGATACTATCTGTGCAGTGACCATTCTCAATCAAGCTCAAGCTCTTTGGCACCATCCCTTGAATGTATGCAAAGTCTCCTTTCACTCCTAGCTAGTCTTGAGAAAAATGTAAAGTGAAATAGGATTCTTTTCAGATTCCACTGAACTATCACTAGGAATTTTAACAATCTTTGGGTGCTACTATGTTTTTAAAATTCCTAAAGATATGACCAAGGATAAAACCAAATGTTTCTGCAATGTTCACATTATGGGGTCCTCTTCATAGTCATGTATCCTCTTCTTATTTTTAATCTCCCCCACTAAACAAAGACATTTTCCTGGTATAGACTATCTCCTCATTGGAAAATGCCTATTGCCCCAGTATATGACACAGTGGGAGGATGGGAGAGGAGGAGCAGTGGGGAAGCTGAGCCCACAGAAGGCATCTAACTAAAGCCTGTGGTCACAGTCGCAAAGCATAGCTCGACACATCTCTCTGGAGTGATCACTGCAACCTCTTCTAGCTCTAAAATTCCCCCCACGTTCCCACTCCTCCTCCGAGGCCCCACCTTCAGGGATGCTGGTGCCGAACAGTCTCAGAGAATCTCAAGCCCAACACCCTGTCTGCAGTTCTGCTTTATTGTTCCTCTCAGGCTGGCTGCTTACAAAATTGTTTGTTCTCCCACTTCCTTTGTCACTACTTCCTCTGGCAGCCAAAACAAGCAGCATTAGGGCAACACACCAATCCCACAACTGGAAAACAAGAAAGAAAATGAACATCTCACTGCATACATGTGGCACAGACACACAAAAACTCAACTTCTGGAGGAAAAGACAAAAGGTATTCTCTCTGTGCCTGTTTTTCTTCCCTCCTTCCCCAGCCTTATCTTTCTTCCCCATCCCACAACAAAACACAGAGGGTTTCTTCAGCCTGGGATCCCTGCCAGGGGGTCAAGGATGCTGGCGGCTCCCAGCTCACAGTCCTTCCTGAGAGGCTGGCATTTGATGGCCAGGGCTGGGCGTCCAGGTTCAAGGTCATCCACGAGAACACTGGTGTGTGTACCATTGGTGGAACCTTGCAGGGAGGTTCCAGGAGCCTCTCTCATCTAAGGATTCCCTTTCCCCACAATGGATCCACTGACGGGCCTTCAGAAATTATAATCTGCTGGTGAGAACAAGCATGAGTGTAGGGAAAAGCCCTTCACTGGGAGAAAACTGACCTCATTCTGATCCATTTCTTCCATTGCCTGCTTGTCCCCATTCGCCCCCACCAGGGTGAGGTTAGGCAGAACATTTAAGCCAGGAGGCTTTTGCTGTTAAATAGAGAAACTAAATCCTGACCTGACTAAAAGCAAAGTCAGGGCCCTGTGACAGTCTGAAGTCCCCTTCAGTTCCAGTATCAACAATTCCATGATAGTGAACGCCAAGGATGGCAAACCCAATTACCAAGAGGGCACGTGACACAAATAGGTGACACCAGCTGGAGGATTCATGCTGCATCTAAAGAGACAGCCACTATTTAGCTCCAGTAGAATTTTGGCATTGAAGAATCTAGACTTGGTTTTGCCAGAAATTCTGTATTACAAGAGAAGGCAGAAATATGATGAGGTTTTTGTACCTGTGAAATATCCTGATTTTAAAATTTTGACAACTAATTCAGCAACTTGACAATTCTATGAAAGCCAAACAAGCCATATCTTCTGGACCTTTCAACCCACACAAGTTTGTAACCTCTGTCTCAAAGCAACTCTCAACTCCATATGACCCAGTCGAGGGTGATGTGGTGAGTAGCCTCATTAAAATCTCTATGAGAAGCTTTTTCAACTAACCAAGCTCCCACTTACAATATATCTCTAGGCACATATTCCCAAACCCCCAGTCCTTGCTTTGCCCTTGGAAATTATTGTATGACATTGCATTATACATGTGAATGTTGTGACAACAGAAAAAGATGGACAATCACTAGAAAGGAAGAGCTTATGTTCATTTGGACCACACAGTTTTACAAAGTGTTTTCATGTACATTTCATATCCCTATTTTTAAAGAAAAAGAAGGAAGGAAGGGAGGGAGGGAAGGGGAAGGGAGGGAGGGAAGGGTAGGGGAGGGGAGGGAAGAAGGGAGGGGAGGGGAGGGGAGGGAAGAAGGGAAGGGAAGAGAGACAAATTACAGCTCAGTCATTAAGTCACTTGCCCGAAGCCACATAGCTGGCAAGTGGAATTCAATCCAAGATCTTCCAATGTGGAACTTTTGAGAGGCCCCTGGATACCTACCCAAAGACCTTTAGCATAACAGTCCTGGCCCATGTTCCCTTCTTCTAGGCCCTGGTCTTGCTTGGCTTTCTGGATGTTCTCAACCTTGACATGACTCCTTATTCTCCAATTCATTTGGACCTCAAGACACTACTACTCTGGCTACAGCCGGTAAGAGCTATATATACTATGGCTAGACCATTGCCTATAGTGAAGATAGTGGTTTCCCCAAATGAAATGGATATTGCCACTATTGATCATCCTAGGTTAAAAAAAAAAAAAAAAAAAAAAAAGAGGCAGGGGGGAAAAAAAGGAAAGAATCCCTCTCTGTTGGGGGGTTGACTGGGGATCCATTCAGTGGGTCAGATTTTGGACTTGGGAAAAGAGGTCAAGAAAATTACCACTGGTAAGGTAGACTGGCCCTTTCACCACGACATGACTAGGGACTGAAGAGAGAGGAAGGCAGTGAGGAACTCCCTGCATGAAGCATGGCTAATGGATCTGTGATAGCTGATGTGAGGCTTTAAATTTGCTTTTGCTTCATTGGAAACCCCTGTTATCCTCAAACTTTCAGTATAATGTTTTAAATACTACAACCTTGTCTTACTTATATTATTTACACTTGGGAGAATTACCATACACACTTGGAGTGAAGTGATTCCAGGAAAATGGAAAACATTCTGCTGGATATCTTCTGATTCTCCCTCCAATCTCCTCTCCATCCTTCTCCACCCTGCTCTGTGCCCTGCCAAGCTGATCTGTATAGACTACATCTTTGGGCCTCTTTGCTCTCAGGCTTCTAGTTGGGTTCATCTAAGGGGGAGATTGGTAGGAAGGAAGGAGGGAAGAGTCTGAGGTTAGGGTATTTATTCCTCCAGTTCTCTCACCATAGGGTTATTAGGTACTGGCTGAATCCCTACAGCTTCTGCCAAATGGTCTTCTCCATGCATTGTTCTCTGTCTTTGCATTCTGGTGACTGCTCCCTTCTATAATGGAAACTCAGGTTTCCAGTCCTGGGGTGCTACATCCTACTGACCCTTTCATAAATTGGCCTTTTATTAAACTCTTCAAATTACCCAACTGAGTGGATATCTGTTTCCTGCCAAGATCCTGACTGACACAACCACTTTGTCATTGTTGCTGCTGTTAACTAGTTGTATTTAGGAATAATTTCCATGGAGAAAAACATGTATCTTAAGGGTCCACTTCAGTAACTACTGACGATGCACACATTCCTGTAACCAACACCCCAATGAGTTAAATTTCTAGCACCCCAAAATTTCCCATTGAAAATTTCCACCACTGACTTCAATTGTCTGTATTTTCTGTATTTCTAGATTAAAATTTATTTCTATGCATTTAGAGAATCAATAAAATTAAAACTTGTACTTCATAATGTACATAGCTGATTTCTCTCACTTTGGCCTTTTCTATCACTTTACCAATATTTACAACATTTTTCCTCTTAGTAGTTGAAAAGACATGTGTCGACCCCTGTGCAAATACTCCATCTTGATGCTCCATTAAGCTCACACTTCAGAACTACACTAAATGAAGAAACGAAGGGCCCCCTCTTCTCCATTTCCCTAACCATCCTCCTTGATCTCCAGTTTCTCTAGCATTCCTGAATACCTGTGATGTCCTACCCTATGCCTGACCCCACATCAAGTTCCAAGTGTATTTCATCAGAATTGTATCTCTTCACTGCAGCTGACTTTAGTTAAGTATACAAAAGACAAAATCAAACTGAGGGTGCTCTAAGGTACAAAAATTCCCCTAAGGGATGCTCGCATTTTGCATTTTTAAAACAGATCTCCAGTTAACTGAAATGATTTGCTCATTGCTCATGTCATAGCTAAGGCAAATCTAGGCAATAGAGTGGAAATGGTTTGGAACAGCAGGTCATTTCCATCCGATGAGATGAGATCTAGCAATCTTTTACCTACTATGTCTATCCACAATGTTGCTCTGACTCATGAAAATGAGTGCATCCACTTATTCCCCCTCCCAACTCACAGGCTTGTGTGACAGAAGAGTAAGTCCTGGCCCCTTTTTAAACCATTTTCCATTAATTAACAATCTCCAACCCTGACACACACCCACATAAAAAGAAGTCAATTAAGTGTTTAGAAATTTTGGAGATGGGGAATAAGAAAGCAGCTGACAACTACGTTGCAGGTTTGAATCTGAAAAACATAAAATTTAATAGCTTTCTAAGAAGGACAAGGAAGCAGCGAATGGAAGGGGAAATTTTTCAAAGTGCTAGAGAGGTACAGATAGTGTTTAATTTTAGATACCATGCTGCTTCTATCAACAACATGAAATCCAGTTGACTATTTCAGCAGCATATGTAACTCAGCTAATCAGAAAAATATGCAAGCAGTTGAGTAGCTGTCTTCTTGACAAACTTTAACATATGGATCTGGAAAACATCCTGAATTCTGGGGCAAAATCAAATCAATCAAAAAGGCATTAGGGATTTCTTGCCATTTAGCAACAAAGCAACCCTCTTTTCAAAAGGTTCAATAACATCCTTTGGTTCCAAAACAAGGTCTCTTGAGCCTCCCTTTGTTGCAAGGGAAAAGTCACTGAACCTGAAATTTTGATTCAGCTCTGTCTCATTGACTCCATTGGTCTTGAACAAACCACTTCACCTTTCCAAAAGACTAGAGGAAGTCTAAGGTCTCATCTAACTCTCCCATTTGACAATTGTATTTTCCTGATTAGTTTTCTGACTCATGTTAATAGCTATCCATTTTATCAAGAAGTTGCAGAGCAATAAAAAAAAGGTGAGTTAACATTTTTATACCTAAACTACCTAAGATATATCTAGGAGAATCTATGCCAAAATATTTAAAGTGTGTATTAGTCTGATCCTGCATTGCTATAAAAAACTACTCGAGACTGGGTAATTTATAAAGAAAAGAGGTTTAATTGGCTCACAGTTCCACAGGCTGTACAGGAAGCATGGCTGGGGAGGCCTTAGGAAACTTACAATCATGGCGGAAGATGAAAGGGAAGAAGGTCATCCTACATGGCTGAAGCAGGAGGAAAAGAGGGAAGGGGGAGGTGCTATACACTTTTAAACAACCAGATCTCATGAGAACTCACTCACTATCATGAGAACAGCAAGGGGAAAATCAACCCTCATGATCCAGTCACCTCCCACCAGGCCCCTCCTCCAACATGGGGATTATAATTGGACATGAGATTTGGGTGGGGTCACAAATCCAAACCATCTCAAAGTGTTTCAGTCAAATTGATGGGATTGCGAATGATTTTTTCTTCCTATGGGTGAAGAAGTCATTCTTGAAGGAGGGGTAATAAAAGGGATTTGTAGCTGTATAACAAAGAATTTGGCTTTTCTCAAAGAAAAGATCTGGCCTATGCCCTGGGCCCTCCTGATGGGAGGGTGTTTGCTTGCCTGGTGGCCTTAGGTCATACTGGATGGTCTTAACAATGGGATTTAGGGTAGGGGGTGACCACAACCATACAGTCCTAGGACAAGGGCTGGCAATAGATCAACAATGTGACATAAAGTGGGGCCTTTGGGTAACACAGTAACAATCAACCTGAAGACTGAGATCAAATACGTATGCAATCAATCATGTCTACTAAATAGAGCCCCAGTAATAACTCTGGTCACTGAGGCTCAGACGGGCTTCTCTAGTTGGCAATTCTCCATGGGTACTGTCACACATCAGTGCCTGCAGAGTGATGTGTTCTGCCTTCATGGGCTGAAAACAACATATGTGTTCTTCCCTTGGCTGATTTAATCTGTATCCTTTCCTTGTAATTAACCATAACTATGAGTAGAATAGCTTTCAGTGAGTTCTGTGAGTCATTCTAGCAAATTATCAAACCTGAGGATGGTTTTGGGAACCCCCTGAACTTTTAGCTGGTATCAGAAGTGAGAACAGTCGTGGGTGCTATAGCCTCTACTTTGTAGTTGGCCTAAACTCTGCAATATCACAGCAATTAAAAAAAATTAAGATTTAAGATCAATATTTTGCTTCCTAAAAATGCTATGGCCTTTGACAATTTCCCACAAAACAGCCAACAGCCTCCAAACATGCTCTTAATTTATCCTCTCCCTTCTCTTCTGTCACTGTCCCATGTCTGCACTCCACTCTTCCCCCACCAAGAAATTATTATTTACTTTTAATGAAGGTCAGTTTTCTTATTTCTCTGGACTTTTGACTACTAATATTCATTGGAATTTCACCTTCCAATTAAGAGTTATCTTTCTTTCTTCTGGTTATTTATGTACACATTTAAAATTTTCTGCTAAGAAAATGTACATATTCTTTTAATAAAAAAGTAACCTCCTCAAAAGCAGGCCCACATATTTTTCAGTCTTCAGACAGATTTGCACATGAAAATAAAACTGTGCAGCCAGAACAACTAATTGGAAACAATTTATATTTGATAGGTTTAATATTCTCTTTTCTGATTTTTGACATTCTTGCCATAACTTATATCCTAGTTTCTAGTCCCCCAAAGTTTCTCTTCTATTTCAAAATTTTCCTTAAACTTTGGCTGACACACCCTTTACATCCTGGCCCCTTCTTCCCCTCTTCTCTATAGCATTGTCTTCTTTTCTGCTAGTTATTCTCTGCTCTTTGCTAAGTAAAACCTGCAATCCTATCTACGTTTCCTTGTCTTTTTCTCACAGAATGTCTCCAATATTCTTTTTAAGACAAAATCAAAATCATCTACATCCACACAGCTTACTGACTATATTAACATGACTTTACTACTTCAAAGTGGTCATAAACGTAATTTTACTATTCCAGGAAATTTGCTCATAAAAATAAAAGTTAAAAATGAATTTATTTTTTATTCCAGCAACTTCCTGAAATACCAATCAATTTTCAATAGAAAGCATTAAATGATAATGTATACCCCAAGACTCTTTGAACCCCTCGTCAGAATTCTCACCTCATTGTGTCCATTAACCCTAACCTGTTGTATCATAATCCATATCCAACTCTAACCAAGCCCTGCGTTGAAAGACCCACTTTCATCTAGATGAGTCTCTAAGTCTCTAAAATTTCAATAAATTTCCTGACTTTGCCTTCCCTCTTTTGAGGCTCTGTTAAGACTATGTCTACATTATGGTCTCTCTTACCATGGTAAGAACAAACTCAGCTTTGTGCCATTATAGGTAGTTTGGTGATGTTTGGGGAAGCCAGCATTCACCACAAAGCTCAGGAGAAGAATAAGATAACAAGCCATAATTTTCCTCTGTGATTGAATGTTTATACATGTGTTTTAGGTGGAGTGGGAGGCAGGGAAATGTGTTGTAGGGTGGTAGGAAAGAGAAAGAAATATACAGACATATGCCACTTTAAAATTTTAGCAGATTTCTATAACTAATGTCTCATTAGACCCTTAAAACAATGCTATGTAGCACACAGGACATATATTAGGGTCCTCATTTTAAAGACGGAGACTCTAGACTCATGGGGTGACGTGAGATTAAGATTTGGGACACATAACATGAAACAGCTAGAGGAAATTGCTAAAGCAGGAGTCAGCAAACTGCAACCTGCAGGCCAAATCCGGCCCTGAGGCCTGTTTATGTAAATAAAAGTATATTGAATACAGCCATTTTCTCATTTGTTTGCGTAATTGTCTATAGTTGCTTTGCTGCTATAATAGTATTGTTAAGTAGTTCTGACAGAGACCATATGGTGCACAAAGTCTAAAATATTTTCTGGATGGCCCTTTATAAAACAGGTTTGCCAATCCCTGTTCTAATGCAACACAACATAAAGTTAACTTCCCCCAAAATGTAATAAAATTATTAAACTCTAAAGGCCTTGAAGATGTGAGTTGGATAGTTCTTCATCAGGCAAAGGGATATACAATAATATGAAGTGATAAATTACCAGGTTCTAAAGGGTTTCTAAATAATAGGAAAGAGTTCTCCTGGGAAGTTCTCAACCCAGACACAGATAGCAATGATACTGTGAACTGAAATAGTGTAGGTAAAGGCCTATCATTCACCCAGCACTGTAGGCATCTAGGCAGCAGCAAATAGGAAGAGAAATCGCTATAATAACAAAAATATTGTTGATAAAACTTGAACTTTAAAGACAATGAGAAGAGAAAAGATCAAGAGAATGCTGTACAATTGCTGACTCAACAGTAGCTAAGAAAGGAAACAAAGCTGACACAGGCAGGCATGAATTGTTAGGAAATCAATAGCTTAATGAGTAATCGAGTCAGCTTTCCTAGAACACCCAGAATGAGTTATGTCTGCGTTTTTGCTTTTCTTTTGCAACCTAAACTTCAGGCCTCTGACTGGTCTCTCTGCTTCCAGGCTTGCTCCCCTATATTCTACTCCCCAGAAAAAATTATCCTTTTACAACAGAAATTAGGTCATGTTAATACTTTGCTCAAAACCCTCCAGTGACTTCACATTTCACCAGAGGTTGATCATTCTTGAAGCTAATAAATCTGCAGATTGAGGGCCCCTCATTGCACAGGGCTCTTCCAAGGCCCTGGAAGGGGCTCTGGCAATGTGCTCATGTGGTCATTTTTTTTTAAAATTTGCAAATATGAGATATTTTTACCAAAGCTCTTTATTGCTTATTTCCCTCTGTCACATTTCTCTTTAAGTCAAGTGGTGTGAGAATAGACAGACACTTTAGGGCCCAGGGAAGGAGAAGTTGAATTGGAGAAGCATTTAGTTTGGGTTAGTAGGATGTATTATTGTGGTTCACAGTTACTTCAGTGTAAAAATTTTCCTGGTGTTGGAATGGCTTCCAGGAATACTTCTGCCATTCTCTGTACCAATCTATGTTGTGACATTAAAGTTCACAGCCTGAGATTATAAAATAAGAACTTGTCTTCATCATACCAGAAATATGTGGCTAGTAGAGGAGAAAAGGGGGTTGAAATATATGCAGCCAGAAGCGAGTACACAGAAAATTCTTACAAATCTTATGGTCATATAAAGAAAGAAAGTTGAGAAAAGTTTTCTCAAATTGACGACAATTCTAAAAAACATACATAGCATTAGCAGTAATGAGTTATAAAATTAAAGAAGGTTTTTTCCATGAAATCAACAATAAAAAGATAAATTTTGTCCCAACAAGCTAAAGACTGAATTATCTTCAGTTCTTCCTATAGAAAATGATGTTAGAAAATAATATGAATAATCAGTTATTTCAGTGTAAACTAATGAAGAGGGAAAAAGTAATGCAACTAACTTTGTTTATACCTTTAAAGAAAAAAAAGGAGAAAAAAGTAATACAGAGAGGTGTCACAGTTAGTAAAATTATTACGGTTTGGGTTTTTTTTTTGGATTTTGTGGTATGTGTAGTATCTTTTAAAACTGATATTATTATGATTTTTTTCATTCCAAATAAGTATTAGGTTCGTAGCTAATTTTGTATTCTTTTACTTATAGAAAGCCTCAGGATTATAAGCTTCAAACCCTACAAATCCTGGATCCACCCTTGATTCTCAGAGTTAAATACAAAGCCTTTAAAATTGGCCTGTCAAGCCCCCATGATGACGGCTTGCTACTCTCTGACCCATCTCCAACATCCCACCCTTACTCACTCCATGCAAGCCACTGTAGCCACTTGCTGATCCTAGATCATACCCAGTACCTTCCTGCCACAGGACTTTTGCACTGGCTGTTTCCTCTGTATAATACGCTTTCCCCAGATATCACCATGACTTTTCTCTAACTTTCTTCAGGTCTCTGCTAACATATTACCATAACAGAGCAGCATTCCCTGATTACCTATAAAAAATAACACTGTCATCCAGCTCCTGCCACTTTCTATCACCTTACATTGTCTTATGTTCCTTAACAATTAACATCATGTAATACTTTAGTTATTTATTACCAACTTTCCCAAGTAGAATGTAAGCTTTGAAAGGAAGGAGACTCATGTTCGCTGCTGTGTCCCCATCCCCAGGGCCTAGAACAGTTCCTGGCTCATAGTTAGAACTTTAAATTCGTTACTGAGTGAATGACTAAATGAACAAAAGAATGAATGAGTGCATGGAATTATTAACACCAGAATTTAAAGGGATTAATAGTAAATACAAGACCAGATTGTGACCATACTTTATTTCATTTGCAATTTGCTGTATATAATACATAGTTTGATAAACTACATCTAACTCATTTGAGAGAAGCGTTTTAGTTCTTTTCAACTAGAACTTACAGTTGCAAATAAAGAGGCCAAAGGAAGAACCTTTTCAAGTACTCCCGAGGGCAAATAATTAAACTGTTTGGGCACATCATTATGTCTCTTTCTGAGAGGGTAAAACAGGTAAGCAAATTTTTATCAACGAGCACCTGACTGAGGCCCATTCCTATTGGCTGATAACATTCCTTTTATAATATCTTAATCTTGAAGTACCAATTGCCTTTTTAAAATATTCTTAAAATTGTGACTTACCTCTTATATAACTAAGCACAGAAATTCACATCCTACAAGTTGGAAGGAGCATCAGAGATCACTGGGCCCGATGGTTCCCAAACCAGTTGTGTATTAGGAGGACCTGAGGAATTAAAAAATATATAGATTTCCTGGCCCTGGAGCTGCTATAGCAGAATCTAATGGTGGAGCCTACAGAGCTATATTTTTTAGCAGGCTCTCCTCATAATTTTTTGCAGCCTTCCTGACTCACCAGTATTTGAGAACTACTGATCTTGTTTTCTCTTCTTACTTACTGTGTTTCCCAAATGGTGAAACTAGTATGTACACATAACCCTTGACTAGGAAATAGAAAAAAAGAATCCATTATCGTCTAGATGGTGGTTCTCCATCTGACTGAACACATGGAATCATCTAGAAAGCTTTTATTTTAATGGCTAGGCTCTCCTCCCAGCTGATGAAATCAGACTCTCTGGGTAAGACCTACAGCACTCGTGTTTTTAAAGCTCTATAGTGAGTCTAATGTTCAACCAGGATTGAGGAACCCTGATCAAGAAGACAAGAATTTCAAGAAACAGAGAAACTATATTTGTCTTTCTTCCTTAGGCACTTCCTACTTTCTGAGTCTGACATTCATATATCTAAAAAGGCAACTTGGAGACATCCCCTCCTACTGAGGTTTTTACAGTTGAGAATCTTAGATTCTAGAGAGAAACTTGCCCAAGATCAAATAATTAATTAGAGGCTGATTTAGAACCTGAACCCAGGTTTCTCATTTCCAGAGCTGATGCAACTTTTACTACATCAAAATCTTCCTATTCACTGTATTTCATTTCATAAGCAAGCCTCTGTGATCTCAGAGAATCTTTATTCAGTCTCCTGGTCATACCAGCACTCTTTCAGTGAATTACAGGCAGGAGCTAGTTATAAATTCAATGGCGGGCCAGATAAGCAGCTGCCCATGACACCAATCTATAACAGCATTTTCCAAACTTGCCTGGTCAAAAGATTCTTGTGGGGAAATTGTTAATAATACAGATTCCCAGATTTCGCCACTGAATATTTTGATTCAGTAGACTTAGTTCAGGATCTTGAAATACGTAAGTATGACAAAGGCTACAGCTGATTCATATGCTTGGCAAGTTTGGGAGAGACTGTACTAAAATATTATTAAAATAAGTGATATTTTATCCCACTTAAACTGATTTCTATATGTGACTCTTTAGAGCAGGAGTTGACAAATTTTTCTATAATGGGTCAGATGGAATTTGTTTAGGTTCTGCAGGCTGTGTGGTTTCTGTTGCAACTACTCAATTTGTTGCGGTAGTGTGAAAGCAGCCATCAACTATATAGATGAATGGGAATGGCTATATTCTATCAAAACTGTTTACAAAAACAGGCAGTGGACTGGACTGGACCCACACACTATAAGTTGGCAACTCCCTGATTTACATAACGATAAAAATGTAAATTTATAATTGTAACAAATATTTGCCTACAAGAAATAAGAATAAACAAAAATAGTGACTTAAATAAATAAGGATTTATTTCATCTCACATAACAAATTTAGACTTAGGTGATTGCTGTTGTAAGTTTAGCAATTTAATAACATGTCAAAAGTGGGACCATTTACCTTCAGAAACTTCTAGAAGGCATCTTCTTTTGTATTATTGGTTAGATTTGGATCACATGCCCACACCAGGTTTTATGACTAAGTACACTGTTCCTGAAATCAAGGGAATTCTGTCCAAAAAGTGCTGGGGTGGGGAGCAGGGAGTGTGGAGGTGGATGACTAAGATCATTAATATAGAAGAAAGCTGGGTAAGTAGTGCTTTTATGTAGCCAGCTCACAGTGTCTGTCACAGTCCAGCCCTTTGGCAATCTGACATCCACACACATCCTTCTTCCTACACATGCAGTTTTTAGGTGTACTCACCCTTCTCCCTAAGGAAGGAAAACTATGACATTCCTCTAACTACTACATTCACATCCAAATCTAGTATCTCTAGACAATGTTCGATCTTCATTTGGTCCAGAGATAAGTTCTTTCAGGTGTGGAAATTTTCTCCAAAAATCAGGTTTCCTGCTTCCAACATATCTAATATACAATTGTTGGAAAAGACTAATCTTTAATATTTGCTAGCATATACTTCATCCTGTTAGAAAGACATAGTGAGAAATGCCTGCCCTCTCAATGGAGACAGTCTTTGATTAGTCAATCTGACAATTCCTGGTTCTATTCTTGACGAAACTCTCCTGATTTTTCTTCCATAGCCTCTGGTTCTTCCCTCTAGTAAGATATGCCTTAATCACTATTTTTAATGCCTGTTTCTGAAATGAGCATTCAAGAGAAATTTCTCAAATGTTAGCAACCTCTGCGTGTTCGTACAAATTCAGATACCTAAAGATTGCCTTTGGGGTTCAATAATTACATGCAGTTGTTGGTGAGGCTTGGAGTATCTTTAAGCAATAAAGTTCCTCTCAAAAACTCAGTAGATTCCGTCTATTTGTGTCTGGTCAATTCCTTGCATTAGTAACCACAGCTAAAGATCTCGTCTAGACAGTCTTTGAGGCTAAGAATCCTTGTCTCTCTGCAGCTAGATCCTGTGCTCTTCTAAATCCTCTCGGTATTTAACTCACACAATCAGGTTTTTGTGCTAAAAAATCTCCAGTTTTATCAGTCTTAAAGATGCCACTTTCCCACCTCTGCTTGTTTTAACTTGAGATATCAAAGACACCTTCTCCAACCCTACAAAGTATGGAATTCTGTTCATTTAGACTGGAGGTCACAGTTAGAAAGCATCTCTCTCAGCAGTCATACTTTCTTCCCTCTCTGATTAGAGATTACCTATCTAATTTAAGTTTGCCTCTCATAGTAAGACTTTTTTTGCTAACAGCCATTAAAGTAACCCAACACACAGGAACATCCTGAATTTTTCCTTTCATTTCCCATGCCACTCTAACCTTAGTCAACCTGTGGTCTGCATTATAAGACAGATCAGGCCAATGGTTGCTTAAATATTTTGCTATACCGAAGGTTTTCCTGCCTGACAGTTGAGTCCGCAACCTCCACTCTGACCTAACAAAAAGTGTGTTTCTTGCAGTATTCCACTTCCAGGACCCAAATTCTCTATCAGTTAGATATGCTTTCAGCTATAAACCATTAAAACTCAATGAACTACAGATGAAACAAATAAAAATATTTTTCTCTAACAGAAATCTAGGTGTGAGTAGTAGCATTGGTTCCAAGGCATCAAGGCCCTAAGTCAGCATCTCTGTGATTCTCGTGGCCTCCTGCTCATAGTCACGAGATGGTTGCAGCACATCATCACATCACCTTGGAAGGCAGGAAGCAGGTGGTAGTGTGATGCAGAGCTTTTCTTCTCAGCCTCTGTCTCTTATATCAAGAAGTAAAATTTTTCCCAAAGCCCCTCAACAGCCTTTTACTTAAATCTCATTGGCCAGAATTGGATAAGAAGCCTGCTCACCTTAGACTTGGGCATACCTTCCATGGAATCAAAGGATCTGCACTGGGGGAAAAAAGTTAGGGTCCCTTAAGCAAGGAATACTTAGCCAACGGTGTCTGCCGTAGACTGCCCCCAACAAAACTGACAAGAGCCCAAATGGAAGTTTTAAAACTTAAGCTAAGGCTGGGCGTGGTGGCTCACTCCTGTCATCGCAGCACTTTGGAAGGCCGAGGCGGGAGGATCACTTGAGCCCAGGAGTTCAAGACCAGCCTGGGCAACATGGCAAAACACCATCCCTCTCTCTCTGTCTCTCTCTCTCTCTCCACACACACACACACACTACAAAAACTTAGCCAGGTGTGGTGGCTCATGCCTGTGATCCCAGCTACTCGAGAGGCTGAGAGGTGGGACGATCACCTGAGCCCAGGAAATTGAGGCTGCAGTGAGCTGTGATCGCATCACTGCACTCCAGCCCGGGTGACAGAGCAAGAACTTGCCTCAAAACAAAAAAAAATTAAACTAAAAACAAATAAAACCTCCTCATAAACCTTTTCTCATGACACTGCAAATTGCACAGTACAACTATGGGCTGCACTGAAACTCTGGAAATGAGCTATACTCATTTTCCTTCTTTCTTTCTTTCTTTCTCTCTTTTCTTTCTTTTCTCTCTCTTTTCTCTCTTTTTCTCTTTCTTTTCTTTCTTTCTTTCTTTCTCTCTTTCTTTCTCTCTCTCTCTCTCTGTCTGTCTGACTTTTTGTCTGACTGTCTTTTTTTGACACAGGGTCTCGCTCTATTGCCCAGGCTAGAGTGCAGTGGCACGATCTCGGCTCACTGCAGCCTCGACCTCTTGGGCTCAAGTGATCCTCCCACCTCAGCCTCCCCAGTAGCTGAGACTGAGACTACAGGCCACCATGCCTGGCTAGTATCTTTTTTTTTTTTTTTTTTTTTTTTGTAGAGACAAGGTTTTGCCATGTTGCCCAAGCTGGTCTTGAACATCTGGCCCCAGGTAATCTGCCCATCTTGGCCTCCCAAAGTTCCAGGATTGCAAGTATGAGCCACCACACCCGGCCTTATATTCATTTTCTACTGCTGCATAACAAACTACTACAGACTTAGCATCTTAAAACAATACTCATTTACTATCTCACAGTCTGTAAGTCAGAAGTCCAGAGGGTCTCTACTGGTTTCTCTAGATAGAATCTCAGGAGGTTAAAATCAAAGCTTGGCTCTGGGGAAGAATCCACTTACAAGCTCATTCAAGTTGTTGGCAGAGTTTATTTCCTTATGATTGGTAGGACTGAGGTCCCTGCCTTCCTTGCTCTCAGTGGGGAGTTGCTCACAGCTCCTAAAGGCTGATCTCTGCTCCTTGCATTCGCCTCCCTCATCTTCAAAGCCCACAGTGGCATTTACATCCTTCTTTTGCTTCGAATTTCTGACTTTTTTCCCATGACCAGCTGGAGAACACTCTAAGTTGTAATATGGTTAGATTAGACCCACCCTGATAATCTCTTCTATGGTCTACTGATAAATAACCATAATTATACCTGCAAAATCTCTTTTGCCACATAAACTAACATAACAAGCACAGTGATACCGGGGGCAAGCGTATTGGAGCCACCTTGGAATTCTGCCCATCACACAAGCAATTCCATGGCCCCAGTTAAATAATAGTTAAAACAGATATTTAAAGATTATCAGTCCAAAGTCACCAGCAGAGGCTGGTTGCATTTCATAGTCCATGTACTGGGCCTGGCATATGAATACATATGCTAAACACATATCTGTGGCTTACTGATCAAGTAAGCCTGGCATATAGGCTAAGCTGCCCATCCTAAGACAAGAATTGAGAGGTGACCATGCCCCTTATGTTTTATGAAGCCAGTACCACACGGATGAGGGGTGGAGACACAAGCAGATACTAGTGGACAGGAATGTCACCAAAAGGGCCAGAGAGTCAAGAGAAGCTAAACACAACCTGGGTATCTGTACTTTTTTTTTTTTTTTTTTTTTTTTTAGGCAGAGTCTTGCTCTGTCGCCCAGGCTGGAGTGCAGTGGCATGATCTTGGCTCACTGCAGCCTCGATTTCCCAAGTTTAAGCAATTCTTGTGCCTCAGCCTCCCAAGTAGCTGGGATTACAAGCATGTGCCAGCACGCCAAGCTAATTTTTGTATTTTCAGTAGAGACAGGATTTCACCATGTTGGCCAGGCTGGTCTCGAACTCCTGACCTCAGGTGATCCACCCGCGTCAGCCTCCCAAAGTGCTGGGATTACAGGTGTGAGTCACCACGTCCTGCCACTATCTGTACATTTTAAATAGACCTTAATATTTCATCCTTCCCCAAGCCCTAAAACAAATGGAGAGGGTTCTTTTTCTCCACATTCCTCAGTCTGCATTTTGACCTTTGGGAACCCCCTTTCCCTTTCACAGCTGCCCTTTGAATTGCTAAACTTAGCTAGATTCCACTGTCTGGGACTTTCCAGGGCTCAGCACTTTTCTAAAGATTAATTAACATGCAGGCCACTTTCCAAATCATCCTCTTAAAAGTTATCACCGTCTTCTCTCTCACTCCTCTCGTAATCCACCTCACACATGCTCACACGCACACTCGCACGCACACCCGCACACACCCTCGCGTGTGCACACACACTCTTCTCTCTCTCCACCCCAAACCTAAGTTTCAGAATGCTTTTACAGCTGGTTTTGCTAGTATATATAGTCCACAATGTGGAAGGAGTTTCTTGCTTAATTTTTACAGTTTTGAAAAATGTGTAACTAGGAACCTGTTGCCCAAACAGGCTGCAAGTTCATATCCCTCTGGAGTTTTGTTTTGTTGTTTTTGTTTTCCCCGAATCTAGTTATTCTCACCATGGAGTTTGGTTTTTGTTTTTTGTTTGTCCTCACAGGTTCCAGGTTATCTTGCTATAAAATTCCCAGGGGTGTCCCTAAGTCTATTGCCCTGGACCTTCTAGGAACCCATGGAAAATATAGCTTATTTATAGTTTGTCGCAAGTCAAGATGAGGTTAATTAAACTATGTTGGTTGTTTAAGACGAGAGAATTAAATGGAAGGAAACAAGTGGAGAGCAGTTGGTATTTGGGGCTAAGCAAGATATTTGCAAAGTACTGACAACCTAATCAATTACCTGAGACAAAGAGGACTGAGACACAAGACTGTCGATCAGAGGGAGGGAAGCGATACTTTACCATAGATGGACTTTCTAAGAAACCAATACCTTCGTCCTCAGGACCAACACAAAAGCACTCAAATTCAATTCCTTTCAGACAGGAGCCATTGATACCTAAAAGTGGAGCAGCTCTGGAGTTTTGTTTTAATTTCAAGATATTTAGATTTTACGCCTTTAAGACCTCCAGTTACCTTAGAGAGTCCAAGTGCATTATGTATAATGTGCATATGTCTCTGCAGACCACATAGTACATTCTCAGGAATTCCTTAAATAAATGTTGGCCTCTGAGTCATTTCTTGATTTCACTTGCATGTCTTCTTTTTTTTAAGCCAGGCATTAAAAAGATGACACAGAAAAATTACAGAGTCAGCATATATTTGAATACTGGATAAAAGGGAAGAGGATGAAATGGATTTTTCAAAGCTTCTAAAGAAAACAGAACTAGGTAATACATGATGTTGGACTTAGTCTAATGATTTGGACATTTAATGAGACATGAATAAAAATGGAATAAAGTGGTAGAGTTGTGGCTTTTTATCCTTATTTTGAAAATAAATTTTCAAAAGAGAACCCAAATACAAAAAGGATAAAAATAAAGATTCTCTGCTTGAAGTAAAGACATGGAACCCAGAGCCCTATTCAATGTCTGAGCTTAATTTATCCTCCAAGTTTGTCCTGACTTAACTCTATGGAACTTTCAGAGATCTTTGGAGCACAGTTTGAAAATATACAACCATCTGATGGGTAAATTACCTGAAACTTTGACCCCATATAAGTTGCTTAATTTTTGACTGGCAACTGGGTAGTATGAAGGACAGCTAGAAATGTTTCACCAAAGCCATCTCAGGTGACATAAGACATTGAAATATCAACACAAGGGAACAGTATATGTGGCCAGCACCTTTGAAAACCAACTTATATATTTAGTCTAAATGTAAGAAAATCCGCAGTAAAAACCTTGAATGATATTTCTTTGTCAAGGCAAGTGAAGCTAAATCTGAGACGAAAAAATAACATGTGCAAACTCTCCCTGATTGCCTCATTTCTTTTTTATAGTGTTGAATAATACATGTATATTTATACATATGTATATATTTGCGAATCACCTCAAGCTCTTTTTGGCAAGAGGTGAGAAACGGAAAATAGTGAAGGAGGAAAGAAAGACTTCAAAGACAAGGTGGAAAAGAAAAGCTAGGTGTGATAAAGATCCAGGGGTCAAAATGGATAAATTTGGGGAGAATTCAGCCACTCATTCATTAATTACTTATTAAACACTGAGCTAAGGATCACATGCCAGGCCCTGGGATACAAAGATGAGAGTACTGCCTCAGTAGAGCTGACAAGCTAATAGTCCCTTCGTCTGCAAAATGAGGCTAATAATAGTAATCACTTCACAGGGTTGTGAGGATTAAATGAGATGATCTGTGCAAACCACCTTGCATTACTGAACTACTTAATAAATCAACTACTTTTCTCCTCGTTTCTTCCTGATATTTCACTCTAAATTGGAGACGGAAAGAGAGATTCATAAGAGTGTTTGGATTTTAATACACTCACACTCCAAATTTATTTTGAGCTGCTCATGTTAATAGCAGCAGAACATTTCTTTCTTCTTTTACTCCTGGTGTTAGAAAGCTTTAAGCAATGAATTGCAGTAGAGACTATAGGAGTAAAGTGTGAATGTATGCAAGAATATTTGAGAGAAGAAATAAAAACAGAAAATAAAGACCAAAGGGATGTGTACAATAATTGAAGAGTGGCCATTGTATTTAGGACAACCTTCCAATTATCCATAAGGATCATTAAATAAGGGAAAGAAGAATCAGCCAGCTAGTGCAGCTCCAGGTGACAGTCTCCAGGCCTATTCAGAGGTTTGGAGTACATTGGAATTACAAATCAATGCAGATTAAAGTCATCTCTCCCTGATCAGCACCAGGTACCGAACCTCAGCATCAACAAGACCGGCCCAGATTCACTTGGATCGCTGTAAGGCCGCCTATCTCATGGAGGCAGTCTAGATGAGTCTAGATAGAGGACAGATACGTTAAGATTTTTGTTTTTGTTTTTTGTTTTTTAGGCCCAGTGCGGTGGCTCTAGCCTGTAATCCCAGCACTTTGGGAGGTCGCAGCAGGAGGATAGCTTGAGCCCAGAGTTTGAGACCAGCCTGAGCAACACAGTGCGACCTCCATCTCTACAAAAAAAATTAAAATAAAAATAAATTAGGTGGGTGTGGTGGTGCATGCCTCTTGTCCCAGCTACTCAGGAGGCTGAGGTGGGAAGATCGCTTGAGCTTAGGAGGTCAAGGCTGTAGTGAGCTGTGATCACACCACTGCACTCCAGCACTGGGTGACAGAATGAGATGCTGTCTCAGAAAAATAAAAAAAAAAAAAAAGTTTTTTCAGAAAAAGAAGAAACAGGAGCGCAGTCATTAGGGAGCAGCAGAGTAAATAAAATCCTAAACACCTGTCTCCAAACCTCAATCAATGGTAAACAGCCGCTGCTTGCTGTCCTTAATTTTAACGTTTTTTTTCTTTTCTAGTGAAGAAAATGTCCCGATAGAAGAAATGACTGATGACATAAGGACAGTGCTAAATTAATAACCAATCATTCCTCTTCCTCCTCCAGCTGTGTAGCAGACTCCTCTTATAAACCTCTGCGAAGTTCTACTTGAAAAGCTGTGGTTTCATTTCAAAGGAAACCAGCAATCAGGGGGATCTCTACAGGAAAATCTCTTCCCTATGTCTTCTTTAGACTCTTCAAAAAGGAGAGAGAGCACAAAAAAAGAAAATACACAAGTAAATAGGTTCAAGTACATCAAGAATCACAGTTTCTAAAAAGGCTAGTGAAAGGTCAATGACTTCAGAGTCAAGAAATCCATTTCTAATGTTTCTTCAGCTGTGACTCATTGTGAAATGTTGAGGAGGGTCACAGAAGCCTCCAGCCCTCGGTTTCCCCAGCTGTAAAACAAATATTTGAATAAGTGGCCAGTCCACATTATAGCTGATGTGCTTTCAGGGACTCAAAATGAGAATCATAAATATGTAAAAATACAAAGATAAGGTGTTCCCTGTAGAAAAACACTAAACTAGCAGAAAAAGAAACATCACATTTGTGTGCTAATTGGGTATTCCAGATTAAAGTAATTTGTTAAAAATTATTGGAAGAAAAATCCATAATTTGGCAATAAAAAGGATTTCCGTAAGAAGAGACAGACAAGATCATAACAGATTCAGTGACTCTAGGTTACTCAGCCAAATTAAAATGCTCTCCTTTCATCCTCGAAGGGAAATCCTTGAGAAGTTTGTGGACCGTCACCATCTGTTCAGCAAAACATGCATCAACATAATATTTTCCACATGTTTTTTGTTTTCTTTTTAATTTTGCAAACGGAGATTAATCTTTTCCTAGTCAGAATGTTTTACTATAACCATTGTCAGAGGAAATAAGTGGAAACTCGGTTTTGATCCCACTTCTCTCCCTACCCACTCGCCACCATTTGCGTTTTCTATGGTGATGTGTGGATTAAAGCTGAGGAGAAACTAATAATTCACATCCTTTGCAGATCATGACAAGTCTGTATTTCATAAAACTGGAGAAATCCTGCTCTGAAGCTCATTTTTCATGCAGCTACAAAATCATCTCTTTCTTCTCATCAGAACTCCATAGTGACATCCATCAATAGCTGGATCAAGGCCAAGAGTGCCATAACCACCTACGGATTCACTCTTCGCTGTGCCATGCCAGTCAACTATGCCCTTCCCTACTATCCTTCTTCCACCACCATTCCTCTGACTGTCAGGCTCAGCAAACAGCTTGCAGTTGGTCAATGAGTGCTTACCAAGCCCCGGCTCTGTGCCCAGCATCATGCAAAGCATAAATGGACATGGACAACAGTCTTAAACTACTTCCTACCCACAAGCAGCTCACAAACTTGTTGGGAAGAAAGTAGAACAAGGAGAGGAAAAGACAGTAAAAGCACCCACTGTGACATGGTAAAAATGATGTTGACAACAATAATGATGGTGCTGGGATCTAACTCCTCTATTTTGCCTGTAACTTGTCTTCCGAGTTTCTACACATTGGTTGGCCAGAGGAAAATTAACTTTGAATTCCATCTAGTCAAAAGTTTAGTATGGTCCAATAATTATAGTAGTCCCTTTAAGAAATGCTCAGCTGTACAATACTCATTTTCCAAAAAGCTTAAATCTTAGAAAACAGTTCCCTTGTCCATTTAGGTGGGTTTGTGTAATGCTGATCAAAGTCTGGTCCATCTAGGACCTCTGATAATATTACTGTCACTCCCAAAGCTAGGTTTATTTCCACCTGGTTGCAATACTCATAAAGAAAGAAAACCACTAAGTGATGTGTTAATAACAGGTATGTATAGAAAGCACCACTGTTATTTTAAACAAGTAAAATGAAACCCAAAAAGTTTGGCAATACAAGAAGTGCTATGGGCTAAACTGTGTCCTCACAAAAATTCATATATTGAAGCCCTAATGTCCAGTACCTCAGAATGTGACCGTATTCGGAGATAGGGCTTTAAAGAGGCGATGAAGTTAAAACAAAGTCATTGAGGTGAGGCTCTAATTCAACGACTGATATCCTTATAAGAAGAGGAAATCTGGACATAGATGGGCCCAGAGGAAAGATCACATTAAGACAGAAAAAGAAGATGGCCGCCTACAAGCCTAAGAGAGAAGCCTCGGGAGAAACCAACCCTGATGACAACTTGATCTCAGATGGCTGGCCTTTAAAATTGTGAGAAACTAAGTTTTTGTTGTTTAAGGCACCCAGTCTGTGGTACTTTGTTATGGCAACCCTAACAAGCTAATACAATAACCAATCTCTAAAAAACATCTCTCTGTGAATGATACAAGAATCCAGGGTTCTGTTTTTCTCACTGACATTTTTGCTGTTTTAATACTAAAATGGTGTCTGGCATAAAAAATGTTTGATAATGTTTGTTGAATTAATAAGTAGATATTATCTTTGCTGTTAATTCATGATACAATTTTAATACATTTTACCAACCTAAATAGAAAATCAAACTGAAAAAGTAACTTCCTCATTAAACAAACACAAAAAAATTCTAAATTTACATGCTAGGTAATTTCTAACAATAATTTTTTAAAAGGATTTTATCTTAATTTTCATTTATGTTTCTATAGCCAGAGTCTTCCCAAGATTCAATACTTTGTTTGGTTTCCTATCATCTCAATGATCTCTTCCAAATCCTGCTGAAGTTGTTAGAAGTAAAATTATCTCCATCTTATAAATGGGAAAAGTAAACTGGCAAGTCAAAGAATTTTCTAGAGAATAGGCCCACAGAGAAGGCTGTTAAACCAGGATGGAGAGATTTAAACACATACACCTAGGGGAGGCAGAGAAGAGACGGGAACATGAGGTGGCCTGAAAATGAGCACAGTATTTGAAGGTCTCCCAACATGAGTTTGATCACATTTAAAGCCCACCAATTTAGAGCTTTTTCAAACTCCATTCAAAGGGGGTTTTCCTGACGTATCTGCAAAACCTAATAAGAAGGCCCTGTCCTCTGTGTAAGCAGCTTTTCATACATGCATATATTCATTTATTGATTCATTCAGTAACTACTTATTGAGCATCTACTATGTGAAAGGCATTCCTATCAGCCCTGGAGATGCAATCGTGAGTAAAACAGACAGAAATGTCCCTGCCCTCACGGAGTTTACATCCTGGTAGTGGGGACAGAAAATTTAAAAAAAATAAATAAGTAAAATATGTGTCAGTATTAAGTACCATGGAGAAAAAATTAAACAGCGATGAAAAATATAAAACGTAAGGATGGTTGAAATATTCGGTCAGCCAGGAAAGGTGTCATGAAGTTGAGTTAGGAAACTGACTACATGAGAAACATTTAAACACCTTCTTACCTTGTCAGACGGTATTCTGAGTTCCAGATTCAAGCAGCCTGGTTTCCATACACAGTACCACTTTTTATTTATTGTGAGAAAATTGCCTAATTTTGTGTCTCAGTTTCTTTATCTGTAAAATGGGGATAATTTTTTTAACTAGTAGAGTTGTGAAGAGTCAATTTAAAAACAAAACACATTTAGTGCTTAAAACAGTGCCTGATGTATAAGAACTCAATAAATATTAGGTTTTGTAGTTGCTTTTGTGTTTTTTTTACTTTCTATGATCTAATTTCAAGATTGTTAAAATGGGACTCATAATGCCAGGCTTCACTGAATTTTTGTAGGAATCTCACGAGACAAGACATAAAGAGCCCTTGGAGTTTGGATCATAGTAAGCACTAAATGTATGCTTCCTGCTCCTGTTACCATTGTAACCAGGCAACATTTTTGTTTTCTTAACTATTGCAACAGTATTTGACTTGGAACAATAGCCATCGGGAATAGAAGGTTAGATCCTGAGGACATGGACGTACATCCACAATAATCTTAGCATAAAAGAAAAGAGAGATAGTTAAGCTTCTCTGCACTTGAAAACAAGAGGATGGGAGTATTGGGAGAAACAGAAAGCAGAAGAGAAAAAGGGGAAGGAGAGAGGCACCGAGGAGCTGTTGTGAAGCTGGGGATTTTATAGGATGAGGGAAGGGTATCTATTCGCTAAGGATGGGATAGTGGAGAAACATTTTACAAATAAAGATGAGTCAAGTTAAATTTGAAATTATTTTTGTTTCAACATGAACTGCACTTCTGTCTCCTCATGCCACCAAAAGTTTTAATAAATACATTATACTCACAAGTGCTTTGTAGGGTCTTTTGTGCAAATTAGATGTGCCAAAAATGACCGTGAAAATGTGGACTTCACAGAATTTGGAGAAAACTTAGGGAGGACTTTGGACTTCTACAGGGAATGAATAGAGCTTGAGACAATCCTACCTAGGTCTTTGATATCTGCATAACAACATTAATATTAGTAATATTAATTCAATCGGAGAAGCAAAACCATTAGGAAGTGTGTGTGTGTGTGTGTGTGTGTGTGTGTGTGTGTGTTTTGCTTGGGAGGAGTGGATTTATTATGGAGATTTGAACTTACACAATGGGGGCTGGTTAAAAAGTCTTTGTAAGGCTGTTGTCTTTGTGCCTGATGCTGGAGCTTGAAGTCCACAGCATGGGTCTTCAGGAAGAGAAGATAAGATAGAAAGTAGGAGTGAGCAAGTACAATCCGGAATTTACAAGGACAGGAACAGACTGCAACCCATATCAGTTATAATCGCCTCTAACCTTGATGATGTGGGCATCGTGCCTGAAGGAGCCAGGGCTCTTTGTCACAGAACTAAATACACATGTGGCCCAAGAGTCAGAAAACTGAAGGGAGGATCCCAGAAAGGTGGGGCAGTTTTAGGCCAAGCTAAAGCTATAATTCTAATCAAACTAAATTAAATGTATTTATTAATAAATCTTAATAAAAATTCCTTAATGTTTTAAAATCAAAGATAAGTTATTATCTCTGGTAATTATCCCTTCTGGCTACTTCATTCTCAATGATGAAAGCCTGTGGTTGGATAGAGAAGTCAGAAAAGACAAGAAAGGGAAATGTCCTATTGATGACCGCATCCAATGCTCAGTTTAATTTCTTTAAGCCCCCAGGATAATACTGTTTTGTTGTCTTCGATTATCGTTTTCTATAAGCTAATGGCCCTTCACCTATTTAAGCCTGGTGTTCCATTATTGGAATGCTAAGCACGTGGGAATTATTTATATCCTACTGCTCAAGGTCATCACCAAGGTCTGATTCCAAAAATTCCAAAAATTGCAACCTCAGGCATGAATGGGTTAATTGGAAGAGGAATCCTTAGTCCGTCGGTAAGTTCTAGTACAGGGAAAAAAAAATAGGCAAATCAATACCTAATTTTCTGACAGAGAAAATCCATTACAAGGATGGTTGCCTTTGAAAGTATCTCAATAGGAGTCATATCAAGTCTTCTCATTTCAATGACTAGAAAAATGAATAAACTCTGGCTAGACAACTTATGAAATTATCCATCCCTGCATCATCCATCAGTCAGATGATAAGGTCCCAAGCTATAGTGACTGGATAATATTCATATAAAACTTCAGCCTGGTGGGAGAAAATAAATCAAGTTGTTACACTGTCACTATTTCCTAATAAAGATTTTACAGCCTGAGGTTGTGAAAGAATAAGGGTAATTTTTAATCGTTCCTTTAAATATACATTTCTATGTGTATAAATACACAAGCATATTAAATATATTATTTTCATTAAAATAACTTTCTCATATCAGGTGAATATCTGGAGCTAGGTAAGCAAAGCTAAAATGCAAATGTGGTCCACCATAGTAAGACAAGCCATTCTACTTATAGGATGACCTTACATAAAAATTTCCAAGGCGTGGTAGGAAAGCAAGTGCTGATCTTTCCATCTTCTTGCTAAGTGAACATTGCTCACTCCCAGTACCATGTTTCAAAGACCAACGGGCAAATATCCAATTCTCCCAATTGTTCATTTTTCTAGAAAAATAGAGATTACAACAGAGACCACCTAACTGCAATCAATTACAATATAGATGATGATGATTGATTGATTGATGATGACTATGATAGCCAGCATTTTGATGACATATTTTTACACATGTAGCTATTAATTTTGACTAAAACTACTTTTTATATTCCATTGTCTTCTGCGATGTCATGAAAAGGCCAAGTATAGCACTCCAAGTACTGGTGGACTGGGGATTTTTTAAGAAAGAGAGGAAAAGTACAGAAACAGATGCAAGAACTCTGGGTCAGCCAGATCAGCAATCAGGGGGTGTCTGAGGGTTTCAGTCCTCATCACTCCACCACCATAACTCCCATTCACCCTTTAAAATTCTATTTTGTCTTTACTGTTATTCTTCTAATATCAGCACTATTCTCTATGAATGAATCCTTCTTATCATGCAGCCAAAACTTATATTACTTGGGTACAGAGAACAATCACATCATACCACAAGTCTCCCTGAAGCAAAATAGTTAAAAGCACATTCTTTTTAGTTTAAAATTAAACAGCCTCATCTGACTTTCTTTTTCTTTTTTTTTTTTTCTTTTTTTTTTTTTTTTTTGATGGCAGCAAACACTGGATCTGCCTCAAGCCTTCCCTGGCTGCCCTGCAAACTTACACCAGTCCACAGAGGTGCTGAAACCTCTGAGAGGCAAGTAACAAGCAGCATGAAAATGGAACTAATGATCCACAGCTTCATCCTTTGTTTCCAGAAGCAACTGGTGTCCGCTTTCAGAATCTCTGAGACTGGAAATGATGGGAAATAGTAAGGGAAGCTATGTGGTCCAGAAAAAAAATAGTTGTGGACCTGAATGGCTTGCCATTATTACATTTCCCTATTGGGCCAGCATACTGCCTCTTTGCAGTTTGCCAGATTTCGCCTAACCTCATCCACATTTAAAAGTCTATGGAAAAACAGGAGGGCCTTTCAGGGGGAAATTCATTCATGTTTGGATTCAGGCAGATTTAGGAACCTTTAATAGCACTGTAATTACCCTGCAGGGCACACCACAGAGCAGCCAGCAAGCTCTCCCTCAATGGACACAAAATTTCCTCTGGAATTTACAGAGCAGAAACCTTAAACACACATCGCCATAAGAACCAGATTACATAATGTCTCCATCACCCTCCTGACAGCTACAATTATGAGTCAATCCCTGGTTTAAATATGAAACCGGAAGCTCCGTGTTTCCCCTCTGACTATGTGGCAGGCTGAGTTGAGCTCTTCGGGGCTGTCAGTTTGGAGATCTAAGCTGCTCCCACAGTCACTAATTTAGCATGAGACCAAATGACGGGGTAATTAAAAGCAGTGCTGCAGAGACCCGCTCCAGGACCAGATGTTCTCCTTGTTTAATCGCTGCCCACATAAGGAACAGAAATAGCCCCCTCCTTTAATTTTTCCTTTTCTTTATCCTCTCCAGATAATTTCCGGCTTCTGATCTTTCAATCCCACAAAATAAAATAAAAATAAAAGCCCCATTAGGAAAGATGACATGTTATTGAACATATGACTGTAAGTTGTAATGCACTCTTGCAGTCTCCTCTTTGTACTTCTTGAAGCATTCCAACTCATAAGACATTAAGTTGCCCTGGCAACCTCACATGACTAACAGCTCCAGAGAGCCCCACCTAACTGCAAGGGCTCATTTAAGTCAACATGGGCCACCCCAGCACTTAGTAGCCCAGGTCTGAGTAAATAGCCTTGCTTTTTGGCTTTTTAGAACAGGCTGGAGGAGGCGGCCCCTCCCCTTTTATTGCCCCAAACACAGGACAAATAAGTCTCCACCCTAACTTCTCCAGGAACTTGACTAAAAAGGCCAGGGGTCATCTGGCAAATCAAGGCGAGGTCTTCTCTTCACGTTTCTGGCTTCTGGACAAATAAGGCAGAAGAAAAGGGAAGTTGAGCTAATAATGTATACCTTCCAAAAATGGAAAAGCAGTATGCAATATGGCTATCTCAATCTTATCAAATCAGACGAGGCAGCTTTCTTATGTCCCTTGGGATGCAGAGTCTGGTCTCTATCTAAATAGCAGGCTTCCTTGGCATTAAAGCACTAGAGGCCTTGAGGACAGTCTTGGAAATCAGGAGAATAGAGATCCAACTCTAATTCCACCGTTTGTGACAACAGACAAGCCACTTTACCTCTCTGAGGTTATTTCTTAATTGGCAGTACGGAATGACCATCCTTGTTTTTTTCTCTTCTGGGACCTGTCTCTGCAAACTTCATCCTCATCCACAATTCTCAAGCATGTGGAGTTCTAGGTTTTTAAGATAAAAGGTGCTAATGAATTGTATTTCCAGATAAATAGGTATAGTCTTTTTAAAAAAACAAGTTAATCAAAATTTATAAAACATGATCACTTGAGATTTTTGACTTTATGGAGGTAATCAGACAAGAACCTTTGATCCTTGCTTTCACTAATCCCTTCTGAATCATTGATTATTTGCTAGTGTCAGGTAGATCGACTCAAGTCACTGCCTAGTAATGACCAATCTGAAATGAGGATAAAGGTGCTCTACAAAAGCATATTGTAAATCAGAAAGAAACAGAAATACCCAATGATTTGATGAAAACTCACTAGTTCTGTAAAGGGAGGGAAACCACAACTGTTACTGTTGTACAACTTTTGTTCTATCCTGGAATCACCTCACATGTGAGATTTTTAAGTGGGTTGTACTCACCTGGTTAAATAGACACGAATGGGACAGTCTGAAAAACAGTCTCCACTCTCAGGGTTGATGCCCACATCAAGACAAAAAGCCAAACGGACCCACAGGACAAGAAACAATGTTGTGGGCAGCCGTGTGTTTCGCATATTGCCCCTGACACAAACAAGGAATTATGGAGGTCCCATCTTTAAACAGACTTTATATTACTCACCATCTGATCAGTGTGTGTGTGTGTGTGTGTGTGTGTGTGGTGTAAGAGTGAGGGAAAAAGACAGGAGCAGGCATTTGCTTACCTAGGCATTACTTGAATGGTATTTCCTGCAGACATGTGGAGGTATATTTAAGGTAGCAAGTACTCTACTATCTCATGTTTATCAACTTCCTGATTGGGATGCAAAAGTGTATTGGATTTTCTGAGTGGAAAACATATTCGTGTATTCCAGACCTCAGAGGAAAACAACCAAATAGAAGTCTAAACCAGGCCCAAAATAACAAGAACCATGGGGACACATTTAGAGCAACGTATAAGAAACAATGATGTCCATCATGCATGGCCATTACTCTTCCCGCCCTGCTTCTCTGGGGTGTTTAAAGAATCAGTGATTGACTAGGCACACTCCTTATGAATATAAAACATGATTCATGTTTGCCAGTATTAACCATCCACTCAGTTGGAAAAAATGACTCCTCCACCTGAGTGCTGCACTCTTCTTTGGGGCATTTCAGGAAACACTTGTAGCATGTTTGTGCTCTCAAAAATGTTTTCCTACCCTTTCCTTCAAACTTCTCCTGAACTTACGCCTCGCCGAGGACCCCAAATACCTACCATGCTCTCCCTATTTCTTATTTAGATTTATAAGGAACAGAAAACAGCCAACAAGTTAGTATCAATCCCTACACTCCTGAATGTATTTGTTCATTCACTCAACATATTTGTTGAACCCTTATCAGGGCCAGGGACTGCTCTGGGCACAGGAGATACAGAATAAAAGACAGGTTTGGCTGGGTGCAGTGGCTCCCTCCTGTAATCGGAGCCCTTCAGGAGGCCACGGTGGGGCAGGAGGATAGCTTGAGGCCAGGAATTCTACCTTACTGTAGGCTGCGATTGCACGATTGCACGCTGCACTCTAGCCTGGGAGAGCAGACAGGACTTTGTCTTCGTGTTGTTATTGTTGTTGTTGTTGTTTAAAGGTTCATGTTCTCAAGGAGGCATACACTAGTGGAAAGAGACATTAGACAATTAGCCCTAGTAAAAAGTGACACAAAGTCAACCAAATAGAGGTCCCAATAGGATCTTTTTGTTTACCGGAGTTCCAGACCCACATATCTTCCACCTGTGCAGGTAGATAAAGTGTCCACCTCCAACTTAGAAAGAATTCCACAAGCACCCAGAACTTCATCACATTCGTTCTCCGGCTTTGTGATACTCATTTTAACACACACACAAAAATACTAAGTTCAGAGAGGCTATGTGGATTTTCTGAGGTCACACAGTTGTCTCAATGGAAAAAGCAGGGAAATGTTATAAAATAATACGAGTATCAAAATAGCTGTCCCATCGTCGTCCTTCAACACTTGCAGGTTACATCATTTTGCAGGTCTGGCTGTGACATCACTTCTGGATATGCGACACGGCCCACCCCACCACTGAGAAAATGGAAAATGCTGAGCAGTAACCTCAGAAACAACTTCCTCCTGCAAACGCAATTTCTTTTCCGCCTAAACCTTTACAGCAGGGAAGGTGGGTGTAAGGCGCACCAAAGAGCCTTTCAAAGTAGGAACCCCGGCCTGCAGGTCAGCCTGGATCGTGTCCAAATTGAGTTCCACCCCTGGTGAAAACCAATCTGTTTATGGGTACGCTTTTCTGATGTTACAGAACGTCTGCGAGAGAGGGAGCTCAAGTTCCCGCCTGGTCTCTAAGTAACCCGGCCCACAAAGGTGCATACACACGTCCGAGACAGAAAAAAGCTTGCCGGTCGTTCCCTCCTCCCAGGCCTGCAATGAAATGCGCTTTAATTGCATCAAAGGGTTCTTCTCAATGGGGTTTCAGAGGCGCGAGAGCGGCGTTCCCAGCGAGGGTTCCTTTCCGGCTGGCCAGCATTCCTCAGCCCCGCGCGGGGAAGGGGATGGGGCTCCTTCGGCAGGGCCTGAGGCTCATTTCCATTCCTCTCGCATACAGCCTCTGTTGTGCGGGCCGGGCCTGCAGAGGGTAGCCGCGGCTGCCTACGAACAAAGCCCCATTCATCCCCAGGGACGCTTCCTCCCCGCCGGCCCGCGGCCGCAGATGGGCTGGCCTGGGCACGCCATCCTGCAACCCGGGCGCGCGGCCCGGCCTGGCGCGCACAGGGCTCCGATTCAGGACGCCGGGGCTGGCCGGGGCGACCCGGGCTGCTTTTTCAGCAGGCCCCACAATGAGGATCGGCTGAAACTCGCTTTCATTTCTGGGCCGGGGACAGGCAGACACTGAGTCCTTTCAGCCGGGAAATCCTCAGTTTACTCACGGCTTGTTGAGAACGAAGATGTCAATTTCCACTGCCCTCTCCCGGCCTCCCCCACCCTTGCCCCCTCGGGATGGTACGGTCCGAAGTTTCCCGAGTTGTGAGAGGACTTTGTTTCTCCTCTGCGGCCTCTGAAATCCCGACGAAAGGGTCATTTCCTGACTTTTGTGTCTCTTCAATCCAGTGCCTTGAAAGTTCTTACCCTCTTGTTGTGACTGAGTGCATAATTGCAAGGCTGCTCCCTAACTTTTTTTCAGAGCTTTAACATTCCTCTAGGTTCAAGTTTGGGACCGTGGCTTCACAACAAAGACCAGTTTTTTCCTCCCCCTCCTCACTCCTGGGAAAAAGGAAAAAAGGAAAAGAAAGAAACCAAAACGCGTTTGTTCAGCAACCATGTTCACAGATTTCGAGCACACTTCTTCTGGCCCCACAGGTTAGACCAACAACAGGTTAATGCCACGGAGAGCTCTAACGCCAAATCAAAGGACTGCAGTCTCACTTTTTCTTAAGTCTCAGGCAGCTGGGGGAGTTGGGGCGGTGTGTGCTTAATTTCTAGTGCACAATCTAAAACAGAAACAGCCTCCAGATCTAGATTCCTAGGCTCTGGCTTAAACAGGGAATGGCAGAATCAAAGAACACCAGATATAGGAAGACTTATCAACCCTAATGCATTCATTTTACAGATAAGAAGCAGATAAGATCTAAGAGGGGAAGAGACTTGTCCGCCCTCCAAAAGAAGCTGGTTCATCCCAGTAAAAATTGCCTCAAACAAACTTAAAAATAATTTTCAAAAAGAAAGCCTCCAAGAAAAAAGTGTTGTTCAAAAATATGTTTTCTTTTCTCCCTTTGTGTCAGAAAAAGTTTTCTCTGAGTTGGTGGGAAAAGGGTGGGAACCCAGGTTTGAGCTGAGGATTAGAAAAAAACCTTCAAGTATCTTTCCAAAGAATGCTCTCTGTGTTTCTTTCACTTCCTGCATTTTGAACATTGCTACTCTCTCTCTTCAAAGTACAGTCATTCCCCCGTATCCGTTGGGATTGGTTCCAGGACACATCCCCACCCATAACCCAAACCCTGGGTGCTGAAGTCCCGTATATAAAATGCAACATATTTGCATATAACCTATGCACATCCACCCTTATACTTTACTTCGTCTCTAAATTAACTTACGATGCCTTAAACAATGCCTACACATCACTTGATTCTCCTGGATTCAATGTAGTACTTGGCGTGGGACAAATTCAAGGTTTGCTTTTTGGAACTTTGTGGAATTTATTTTCTGAATATTTTTTATCTGCGGTTGGTTGAGTCCATGGATGCAGAACTGACGGATACAGAGGGCCGACTGTATTGCATCCTTGGTGTGGCTAAAAAATACAACGAAATAAAAACTGGTTACTTGCTACTCCAAGACTTCTTTCGTCCTGCAGGAAAAAACCTTCACAATCTTAAAATGGAGATAGGATTACTTTGCATGGGTTATTTCTAAATGTACAAAATGAATCAGTATACACACAGATAGAGAGAGAGGAGTGCTTGTCATATACCAAGTACCATACTAAGCACTTTACACGCATTCCCTCATTGAATGCTCACAATAGCCTATGAGGAAGATGCTATTACTACCCCCATTTTACAGAAAACAGACCAAAGCTGAGAGGGGTTAATTTTAACTTTATCAAGGTCACACAGATGTTAAATGGCCAAGTCACACAATGTGACTCCTGGGCCTGATCTCTTTCACGCTAGGCTTCACTGATACTTGAGGCACAAACACGTGGGGACACACTGGACACAGAGGTCTAGACTTGGAAGCCAGGAAAGCTCCAGCCAAGACATAGGTTTTTGTGTTTCAGCAAGGGAGGGGCTACAATGGCATGCCTGAAGGCCACAGGAGGGAGAATCTGCCTCATCCTACCCCACTTGGAAAGAAAGAAGGCCATGTGAGGACCTGCTAATTTCACACCGAAACTCTCTTTTGAGAAAGCAAAAGAGTGTGAATTCAGTCACTCCCTATTCTGAGCGGTCTTGTGATTTTATCTTTTAAACAATGCTCTGTAAACAATCGTGTCAAACCTTGCTAGTTGTCACGGCAAAGGGGACAAGACAGTGCTTAATTATACTGCTAATAAAATGTGCAGCCTATAATTGACACACATCACTTTTCCCCCATAACTCATTAGTCAAAACTAATACACCACCTCAACTACGATAAGTCCAGGAAATGAATTCCAGCCCTGTGCCCAGAATAGGGGACAAGAAGGACTAAAAATGCATGGTAACCAGCCCTAGTGATGACCATGACGCTCAATAAACACTGCTCTTCTTCCGATGAATGGCGAATACCAGTCCTTTTTTATAACTTCCTATTTTATAGCTAGTCCATGAGACTTTAGAGCAGCTCTCATGTGGAAGGCTCTGTAATCTCAGGAGTCATGCGTGTCATGACAAGATTCAACAAGAGCTTCTGGCTGCACCAGGCTACAAAGGCGTTCTCTTGCTTCTTATGAGCTCCACCATCCCAGAAGAGGAAAAAATGAAAATAAAGTCTTAAGGAAAATGGTCTGCTTTGGCATACCCAACTTGAAGATCATTGTGGGAGGGAGCAGGAAATATTCAAATAAAAGCAAAAGCAAATTTTGACCACAGAACTAAGAAAGTCTGTAGGAAAGATGCTGGAGTGACAGGAAACATCACTGACATTTTCATTTTCTCTCACATCAGATTTGCCCAGCTGTGTCTTATGGAAATGATTCTTAACCTCTCCTCAATATTTCCCAAACGAACTTGCCTTTGTTTTGGTGTTTTCTGAGCAATTCAAAGCTCATCTGGAGTTAATACGATACATACTTTGTTCATTGACTGACCTGTGTAGAAATGCCGATCAACTTCTCTCTTTTTTGACTTCTGCTTAACTTCAGACTCAAATTATCCTATCCTATTCTTATCTGATCATTCCTCGATTGTTGGGCATTGTAGATTGTTACTAATTTTTAAAAATCATACGTATAAAAAGAAGCACTAAAATAAATATTCTGGTACATAAAATCTCTCTCTGCGTATATAATTGTCTCCGGAGACTGGAATCACTCAGTAAAATTGTGCAAATTTTGCTCCAGAAAAGCACCCTGACCCGTGTCTTTACCTCTACTTGTAGAAAGACCACACAAAGGGAGTAGCTGCTGAAGAGAAACAGCATCACCTGGAGTTATGGGAATTACCTGGCCTTTGTGTTTCATGGACGACAGTGGAATTCAATTCTTCAGGAATATTGTTCAGGACGGTATATATGTCTCAAGATTTCCCTATTTACAAAATGTAGCATAAAAGTGGCCTGATTTTAAATGACTATACAACCACATAGCAACAGACTGCTTATGATCCAGTAAGTGAAAAAAGTGGACCCTACAATGACAATCAAATTTTTTTTAAATGCTGGCAAAAAGGAATGTCAAATACAACCTCAAAGTATCAATGTGTGCAGATAATAGGAATGTTTTTTTCTTGAATCTTCCAAAATTTTAGAATATGATGAGATTGGTTTATAATGATGTAAAAAAAAAAAAGTTGCATAAAGGACACATCTGATGAGAATGTGAGCTGGGAAAGCTGTGTCACAGCTGCACTTTCAGAAGTACCCGGCCATTGTTGCACTGGAGCCAGCCCCAGTTGCCTGGATGTAGAGGCCACATTTGGCATCCCCAGGGTTTTCATGTAGCTACTTCCTCTCCCCACAAACAGGCAACCACCCGGGCGGCTAAGCCAACAATGCGATGTCGTGCTTCATCACCAGACCTGACTGGGAGGCCCGCTGCAGGCCCCAGACCTCCTCCGAGAGAGCGGACTAAACTCGCAGGGGTGTTTCAGAGCAAAATGGTTTCAAAGCAAGAAACCTTTTAAAACAAACAGGAAACGAGCCCCTCAAACCCAAACCATGTGGAAAGATAGGCCACATGATTTAAACAAACCAACAAGAATACAAGTTTGTATAAATACCCTGGTACTTGCGCATTTCTAAAAATCATTGCAGTCCAATTGGGAAAAACCTGTTTAAGAAACATTTATTAAGAACCTTCATAGGCCAGGCATTGTGTTCATCTTAAGGTTTCAAATTAAATAACATCTCAGCCCTCCTGGGACACCCATTCTACCGAAAGAGATACACATGCAAATAATGAATCAAGCCTGGCAATATGAAAATTTTAATAAAAAAGGCAACGCATGCCTCTATCTTAACAGAAAAGGAAACTAAAAGGGCCCACTAGATTTAGCAATTAAGTAAAAAATTCCTAGGCTAGGGGATGAAAGATGCAGTGAATTGAGGAGGTAAGGTAATGGAGACGAAATAAACACTATTCTCTCAAGAAGCTTAGCTGAGAGGAAAAGAGAAAAGACAGGAGGATAACAGGTTAAGTTGGAATTCAGGATTCATGAGGCTATTTTCCCTAGTGGGAGAGGTGTGAATACGTTTGTAGAGTGAGAGGAAGATTTCAAGGTAGAAGTTGAAGATACAAGACAGGGACGATGGAAGGGGATGGCGTTCAGCACATATTTAACTAGTACAAGCTTTTCCTCTTGGAATTTTTACCCTACCAACCAGAAACACAACGTTTCTGCCCGTATAAAGAGCTCATCTTTTCCAGCTTTTCACCTTGCATGGTTTTAGCAGGACATTAGATGTATGATCCTGTCTTATGTAAATCTGGAATTTTAAAAAATAACAAAGATCATTTAGAATTTACGAATTTTTGTCTACTCTAAAAGGAAACAAATTTATAGCTATTTCATACTTCCCTTTGCATTTTCTTTCTTCCTCAAGATCATTACGTAAATGATGCGACTTCCAAGTTGTAAGAAACAAAGATGCACTGCAAATCACTGAGTCGAGAGAAACCCCGTTATCCATAAGTTAGTTTGATGAAGAAAAAGGGAAGCATTACCAGGGAGAATATTATATTTTTCTTTTCTTTTTGAAGTGTTTGAGATTTTAGTTACATTTCCTTTTAACTTATTTTAAATTATTTATTTTTTCAAAATTCACTGGTTTATCACAAATGTGCATCTGTTCACCAAACATGGATAAAATCAAAAGAATGAAAATATTTCTTAATAGAAATAATACTTTTTCCATGCATTAGTTGCTTTGCTTTTTTCTTCAGTTAATCAAAATTAATGTTGGTTTCCTAAAAACAGATGTTTGAGTGGAAAAGACAATAATAAAATGAAATAATCCTTTGCAATGAATTTTTTCAAGTCTTTCAAATATGAAACTTTCTGCAGAGTTCTAGTGGTCAAAGGAAATTACAGGATACAGGGTCTAGTCAGCTTGAATAGCAAATCTTATTTTATCCATTCTTGATCTTTTAGAGATAATGTTACAATCTAAAAATGAACACTTCCTGTTGCTGTGAACAGTAGACTGCCCATCGTTGCTAACATACAAGATATTTATTATTTCACTTCACACAGAACCAGGACCCAAACTAGCACTGATAAACGAAGTGGCCATGGAATCTGGAGTGGAAGCAGAGAGCTGAAAATACCACTGTCTTTTTTCAGATGGTAATTGTGTGTCTGAAAAGTACATAAATATTGTTTTCCTTTTCATTGCATTTTTGCTTTAAATACATTGTATTAGGTTGATCTTCAATTAACAGTCTTTTTTGATAATTTAGCCAGTTTTTCTCTCCCCAGCTTCCTCCTATGTTGTTTAGTAAGATATTGTCTGTAAATAAATAGTGTGGTGTCAGGGAAGGACAGAAGCATTTTAGAGAAACCCTTCAAGGAGTTATTTTGCAAAGCAAGAAAATTCTTGTTAGGTGAATAACCATCCCCTTTATTTACTATTTTGAAATTTGGGGTCTTCTATATTATGTTTTCTTAAAACAGAGCATTCCTGAATAGAAGAAGCCTATCAAAGAAACCTTCAACTCTGCCATTTCTGAAAACATAAAAACCCAAATGTGACTTATCACATCAGTACAGCATAAAGAATTTGGTCAAATTTAATGAAAATGGTCATAAGAAAAAAGATGGACAGAATAGAAAGCAGGAATCAATTATTTTACCACGTGGAAGCAACCTATGGTCTGGGCCGGGGATTGGCACACTACAGCCGTGGGCCAAGTGCAGCCTTCCACCTGTTTTTGTAAATAAAGTTTTATTGGAATGCAGCCACACACATTCGCTTATGTATTCTCTATGGCCATTTTTGTGCCACAGTGACAGAGTTGGGGAGCTGCCACAAAGGCCATATGGCCTGCAAAGCCTAAAATATTTACTCTCTGGCCCTTTATGGAAAAGGTTCGCTGAAGCTGGTCTAAAGGAGCATGAGGGCTGATGTCTGTTGGAAACATTACATAAACAATTACAAAATCTTTTAGACCTGTGGCTCAAAGAATGTCTGTACCTTTACCCAGAAAAAAAAGAGCAATTCAAAACTTATTTAGATAAACAATTGTTTCTTAAACTTTTAAATTGTCTGTTCCTGGCAACTGTAATAAGAAGTAGTAACTCCTTTTCTAATGCACTTTGAAAATTCATCTTTAAAAAGTATGGTTTGCCTTCCCATACCACTTTAGAATGTTAAGAGCCTCATCTAATGCTATATATATATACATATTTTGGTCAAAGTGGTTTCTTCCCCCACGTAATGCTCAGTTCTATTTTCAACATTTATCCTTCTATGTGAGGTTCTTCCTTCTAAACAATAGCTAATATCTTAGCCCACTTAGCTATTATCTCTATCCTTGGGCTCCTTTCAGTGTATTTGGGTTGGAGTTTTTTTTTTCTAGTGTATCTCTGGAAGTGTACTTGTCTATATTTATTCTGCAGATGACTAGTTCAGTGTGCTTCATTTTACTTCCTTCCTTAATAAACTATTTGTCAACAGTGTTTATTTTTTCCTCTCACCCTTTATCCTGTTGCAGTTATTTTTAAGGTGCTACTGATTCCCTGACACCCAAAATGCAAGGTAGAATATGTGACTTCAACTTCTCACACAGATTGTCAAAGGATCACATTAATCTTTGTTTCTCCTAAGGTAATTTCCACTGTTGTCATTCTCTGAAAAACCTGCCTGCTTATTAAAGGTCCTTTCTAATTGGGCACGGGTGGCTTATGCCTGTAATCCCAGCACTTTGGAGGCCAAGGCAGGCAAATCACCTGAGGTCAGGAGTTCAAGACCAGCCTGGACAACACAGTAAAACCCCGTCTTTACTAAAAATACAAAAGTTAGCCAAGTGTGGTGGTACAAGCTTGTAACCCCGGTTACTCAGGAGGTTGAGGTGAGAGGATCGCTTGAACCTGGGAGGCAGAGGCTGCAGTGAGCTGAGATTGTGCCACTGCATTCCAGCCTGGATAACAGAGCAAGACTTGACTCAAAAAAAAAAAATTGTTGGATGAAAACTAGTACACATGTAATTATTTCTTCTTAATAATCATTGCCAAAGCCAAAACCTTTCCAGATGGCTTCCAGAAACCTTGCCTTTCCCACATTTGAGAAAGTCCCCAAATAATAGCTTTCAAGGACTAAACTGCTTCTATTGATCTATAGGTCCCTACCGAGAGATAGTTTTACAAAGATTTCCATTGCCTTCACAGTTTTAGAAATGATGACTTTGCTTTTATCCCTGAAAGAGCCCATATTTTGAAATTCAATACTACACTTATCTTATTTAAAAGATTAGTAAGAGTCTTAGAAGAATTTGTGTGCCTCCCTGATAAGGAAGCCTGTGATATGCCCCCACATAGTCCTTGAAACAACATCCTGGTTTTTGAAATAAAATTTTTATACGGATAGAATATCAACCTACCCCCAATACATTTCAGAAAGATGAACAATCCCAGCTTCTTTACTTCCTCTAAGATGCTGATAGCAAGCAAATGTTGCAAGACTGCATGGCCTTTTTAGACCACAATTTATGTTGCTAATAGGCACATTGAAAACATTAAGACAGAAATATTTCATATTTTGCTGAATTGTAAAATCTGTCATTTGTTTTGGTATGATTCAATTTACTTTATAATATCTCGTTTGCCTCTGGTATTTAATAAATACTCTATTACCAACTAAGAACAATTTTAGAAAATACTACAAAATAAGAGAAAACTAAATTCTTTATTCCCTCTCTGGCAATATCCAATACTTCATCTCAGTTAGATCTATACAAAAACAATACCTGAAGTATCAAAGATTGATAATTTTTTATTGCAGCCAGCAAAGCCCCATAAAGAACCAAGTGTAGGCTAGGTACATCTAAAGAAGCAAAAGATGATAGACCCCAGATGTGGTCAGACTGGCAAAATTCATCACAAAAGCAATATAAAGAACCAGACTCTAGAATCAGGTAGACCTGGGTTTGCATCCCTCCCCCATTGTTACCAGCTTTGCTAGCTTGGGCAAATTATTTAACCTTTTTAAATGTTAGATTCCCTCTCTGTAAGGTAGTAATAATAATGGTGCACACCTTAAAGCGTTATCCTGTGAGTAAAATGAGACAATAAATTAATTATCTCAGTCCCTCAAACATAGTAAACTGCATCAGTTACTTATTATTGCATGGCAAGTCATGCTAAAACTTAATGGCATAAAGCAACAACTATTTATTTGCTCATGATTCTGTGGATTGGTGATTAGGGCTGGGCTCATCTGGGCAGTTTTTTTGCTTGTTTGTTTTTGTTTTTTGTTTTTTGTTTTTTGTTTTTTGTTTTTTGAGGTGGAGTCTCGCTCTGTCGCCCAGGCTGGAGTACAGTGGCGCAATCTCGGCTCACTGCAAGCTCCGCCTCCCGGGTTCACGCCATTCTCCTGCCTCAGCCCCCCAAGTAGCTGGGACTATAGGCGCGAAACACCATGCCTGGCTAATTTTTTGTATTTTTAGTAGAGACGGGGTTTCGCCATGTTAGCCAGGATGGTCTCGATCTCCTGACCTCATGATCTGCCCGCCTCGGCCTCCCAAAGTGCTGGGATTACAGGTGTGAGCCACTGCGCCCAGCCCGTTTTTTTTTTTTTTTTTTTTTGTCTCCACATGGCAATGACTGGACTCACTCATGTGATTACAGTCTTTTGACATGTTGGCTGGGCCAGAATGGTCCTGAATGGCCTTATTCACATATCTGGGGACTCAGGTGGGATATTTGGAAAGGTCAGAATGACTGAATGGCCTCTTTCTATTTTCCAAATGTTCTCTCTTTATATATATGTGTGGTACCTCATTCTAAAGGAGGTTAGCCTGGGCTTGCTCACCAGTAGCAGTATTCCAAGAAGACAAAGCATAGGAGCTTTGTTAGGCTTCTGCGTGCATCATGTTCACTGATGTCCTATTAGGCAAAGCAAGTCACACGGTCAAGCTCTGCATGACTCTAGGAGTACACTACACAAGCTGTAGATACAAGTTCACAACTCATTGGGAGCCATTCCTTGTTTACTGCTGTGATAAACTAGTAAACTGACTTAGTAAATTCAACTGTCTTCAGCATTATCACTATACTCATCATCATCTATTCAGGACATCTTAATCTGAATTGAGTTTATTATCTTTGGAGGAATAAAGAATTTCAGATTTCTAAGATCAGCAATTTAGCAGGCAGATACACATTACACAAGTATTTATTGAGCACCTGTATACACTTTGTTCTTTTTTAGGTGCTGAACATTGATAACAGTAAGTGACTAAGGCGCTCCCTGCCTTCAAGAAACTCATGTTCTAGTAGATAGAAGAGGAGACTTCAGAAAGAATGGTAAACACATCAAATGTTAAGGAAACCTGGACAATATTAGGGCTTTTATACTGAAGTTGTGAGCCTACTGAGAAATTTCTTCTATTGAATACATCGTGAAAATTCTTAGTCTTGATTGTCAAAGATTAAAGAAAATATGATTAGAAAATAGCACAGTGCATGATACATTGTATATATTTTATTTTATTTTACTATTTTGAGACGCAGTTTTGCTCTTGTCACCCAGGCTGGAGTGCAATGGTATGATCTCGACTCACTGCAACCTCTGCCTCCCAGGTTCAAGCAATTCTCCTGCCTCAGCCTCCCGAGTAGCTGGGATTATAGGTGCCTGCCACCACGCCCAGGTAATTTTTGTATTTTTAGTAGAGACAGGGTTTCACCATGTTGGCCAGGCTGGTCTCAAACTTCCTGACCTCGGGTGATCCACCCACCTCCACCTCCCAAAGTGCTGGGATTACAGGCGTGAGCCACCGCACCCAGCCAGATACATTGTATATATTTTAAAAACCCATGCCTGGGCATGGTGATTCACACCTCTAATCTCAACACATTGGAAGGGTGAGGCAGAGGATCCCTTTAGGTCAGGAGTTCAAAACCAGCTGGGGCAACATAGCAAGACCCTGCCTCAACTGAAAAAAAGTGAGAATAGAAAAAGAAAACCCTGAATACATCAGTGATTATTTTTACTCCTCTAGGGAACTTCATCTCCCTTTTCCTGCCATATGCCTTCAACCTTGGTTTTCAATGGAGAGTCTCATTATTAAGCTAGATTAGGGTTCAACAAGAGTGTTCCTACTCTTGTCTGGAGCTGTTTGAAATGATTAGCTCATAAAGCAATGTGATCAGCCTTTAGCTTAAAACTCCACCTAAGCAAATTCTTACAGTATAGGATTACACATCCAGGACCCTAAAATTCAGCAGATCTTTTTTACCATCACTTTGGAGGTAAGTCAATAGATATCTATTATAATTCTGAAGTAGTCTGAAAATCCCTGGACATTGCAAGGATATTCTAAGGACATACTTGGCATCTTAAGGGATAAACCCACAGCCTCAGGGCAATGAAGGGAATGTAGCACTATGCCAGATATCATGAGGACACAACAGGCCGCAGGAGCCCAGCATCAATTGATTATGTACAGAACTCTGGCTAGAAGTGGGGAATCAAAAGCTCCAACAAATAATTTATCATGAAAGTTAAAATTGAGGAGAAATGTGGGATTAAATACAAAAAGGAAGATCCATTCTATGCATAAAGGAATGAGGATGGAAGCTTATTGAAGCCATGAGCCATCATCGTTTCAGCTGAACATTGATTAGGCACCTATTATATGCCAAACACATATCCTGTCTAGATTCTAGAAATATATAGAAAAATAGAGTATGAGTAGAATATGAGCTTCAGGCAGACTGACCAACCAAAGGAAATGATCAAAAGCAAAAGTTGGGTCAGTCAGAAATCAAAATGCAGGAAGCTGGCTGGTGTTATACCACAAAGTGTGCTGTTTTTACATGGTATAGAGTCAGTTCCTCTGGTTGAGCCTTCCTTGACCACAGGCAATTAGTCATTGCTTCCTCCATCCCTACAGCTCTCTGTTCTTACCTCTACTGGAGAATTTATCCTGTTCTACCTCTTTTACTTTTTTATTTTCTTTTCAACAGAATTTGTAAGTCTCAATGTTCTACCTCTTTATGTTTGCTTTTCCCTAGATTGTATCTTCAACCCCTAGCACAAACCTTGGCATATAGGAGACATGTAATAAATGTGTTTCCATGATAAGCTTGAATCAATTAATAAAAGAGGAAAGTAACGTGCCTTGTTTGAAACCTCTCTTTAAGGCCACAGGTCTTGTCCTGCTGTATTAGAAAAGGCTGTTCTAAGAAAAAGGACTGAGTTAGAATGAAGTACATCCTTCACTCATCTTACAAAACCCTCTTTAAATTTCTTTAATACATAACTTGATGTAACACTGCAGAACTCTATAACTAAGTTAATGGCAATTCCAATTTAATAATTTTATTTATCAAGAAAGCTATAGGAAATAAAATCTTTCCATTACAGTAACAATTGGTTTGTCTATTGTACACTTCTTAAGGGCAAAAATTAAAAAGCATGTTTAAGGGAAAATAAAAGTTAGACATTTCAAGAAAATTGATATACCGTGAACCTCATCTTTCTATATGATGGTTTTCATATTCACTCGAAGAATGGGATTTAACTCTCTTCTCTCTCTCTCTCATTGTCTCTCCCCACCTCTCTCGCACGTGTGCGCGCTCACACACCCACACCCACCCACACACACAGACACTGTGGTACTTTAGTCTCATTAACAGGTGCCTTTCAGCTACTTCCTTTTTCTAAAACAAGAAGTATTGAGTCAGCAACTTGGCCAGGGGGAACTCAAAACAATGTCTATTAATAATGAAGACTTCCTAATGTTGGCAAAATCTGTTTCCCCTTTAGAAGACTGAGAGAGCAAGCTACTAAAAGTTAGTATCCCTCACGAAGTCAAAGAGATTTAGGAAAAGCTTTCTAGAAGTCTTGATTTAGTTAAAATTTGGGCCACATATTTTGGGACAGAGCCCAGAGTTCTTTATGTTGGCTGTTGATAGAGGCAGCTTCCATTTCAAGATAAAAACTAACAAATAATTAAAATGTGTTAAATATTTACTGTGTTCTAAGTATTGTGATAAGCTCTTGTATGAACTTATTATTTGACCCCAACAACAGCCCTGATAGTGAAGCTGGGAGTGGAGATCTGGTCTTTCTGATTTAAAGGAGATGCTCTTTGCTGTTACCTTAAACTGTGTTCATCTGAAGTCCCTAATTTAGGATAAACGTGGGTGAGACATGGATGGAGTCTCTATTCTGAAGAACTTGCATTCCACAAATTTCTCATTGAGAGAAGCAGAGAAAGAGAATGCCAGTTTCCCAAGATGTCTCAGGAATAGGATTCAGGGTTTGGGATTGAATATCAGACAAACCTACATATTCCCTCCCTCTGCTTACATTGTAAGGTGTTGGCTCATTTCTGAAAGCAAAGGCATTTAAACTATCTCACGGACAACTCACTCTGGCCCAAACCACCACATTCACTTGAAACAAGAAGTGTATGCAGTGGTTCAGGGTGACCCAGCTAAGAGCAGTCCCATTTAAAGCTATTAAGTGTGGTTTCTTTTTCAGTGAGGTCATCCTGTTTAATCTCTCTGAATTGAAACAGCCTATAAAGCAGCCTCTCAAAAAGCTTATCTCAATTTGTTTCTGGGTGGACTAGAAGCTTCAACTTTTTAAGAGTGCCTTCTTAAAGTGAGGAGGAGGAAGAGTTTGGTAGCAAGAGGAAGGACTGGTAAGAAGGACAAAAGCAGTAAAATGTAGTCACATGGAGAAACTACTGAAGGGATTGCAAAAGGACACAGAAAGAGGTTGGGAGCACAGACAAGGAGGAAGTTTGAAGACTCCCTGTCCATTTTCTCACCATTCAGTAGATCTGTTCTTGCTTAGAACCAACTGTAAGAAAGAGAAGATATAGGAAGAATCACATTTCAGAGAATGTGTTTCCATATCCCACCATGGAAAACTGCCCACTGCAGTTTCAGCTTGTTTATAATGCATCACAGTGATGCCTTCCTGGAAACATGTATAAAATAAAAGGTATATGTCTTATTTAAAATTCTCTATTGACAGGTTTCTAAAATCAGAAACTTTGGGCGGAATGGGGAGGATGTGAGTAGTAATCTCACTTGAACATGCCCTCCAGGTAAAGTTAGAGGACCAGTGGCTTCTATGCCTTTGTCTCACCCACACATCTCCAGCAGGAAAAGACAGTCAAAGCCATGTGAGCGTCCTTCAATTCAGACCACCAGATAAAAATAGATCTGTATATTCTGATTGCTCAAGTGAAAAACAAGTTGCAGAATAATATGAAGAGCATGATATCATTTTATCTATATGTATCTGTCTATCTGCTTTGTTTATTAACAGCAAATTTCCCAAGGAACTTTGTTTTTTTGATAGTTACATTTAGGGATCAAGATATTTGGGGGTGGGAGAGAGGAGACGAACTTTTTATGTTTATGAACTTTTATACTTTGGTCACCATAAGAATTCCTTCCTTTAATATTTTTGTATTTTTTAAGTTTCACAGATGAATCTGATCAGCCCAAATTAGGAAACACTGTAGACAACTGGTTGTTAGTTTCTATCAGTTTAGTAGCCATTAAGTGACTGTTTAAACATTTGTTCATTGACTCTGTGATTCTCTCAGGCTCACTGTTTTCTGTAGCTTCCTTAGAAGTCTTGCTCCAGAATATACGTGCATTCAAGATGGGACATCCTTGGGGTAGCACCAGTCTACCAGGACCAGCCTTGGAGCTCTGCAGCACAGAAGCTTCTCAAATTCATTGCACCAACAGGTCCACAGTTCCCCACATTGATTCAGCAGCAGTGTGGCCAGATCCAGGAAGATGATACTGAGAAAACCAATATGGTTTGCACGGGTGAATTCAATTAGCAAATATCAAAACCATTTGTCTAAAAGCGTCCTGCTTGTTCCCTCTACAGAGATCAATATGCCCTGTTAGCATCCAGGATGGAAAATAATATCCAAGAGCAAAACAAATCTGTGTCAGCATTATAATAGTCTCATCTTTTTCATTCACCTAAAAGCAAGAAGAGCCCCAGGCATAATTGTTAAGTACCTTAAACTTGTGTTCAGGTCTTTCTAATCTCCACTTTCCAAGCCTTTCTCATCCTCTTACTGCCAGGTGTTATGCTGGAAACCGAACTCCGTGTCTGTGCCCTGGAGTACCCAAAATTGACATTGGAAGGGAGCAGGAATTCTGCAGCACCCTCCCATGACTGCCTACCATGAAGAATGTTTAAAACTATTCAAGCAGCCGGATCATTTGAGGTCAGGAGTTCAAGACCAGTCTGGCCAACATGGTGAAAGCCCATCTCTACTAAAAAAAATACATAAAAAATTAGCGGGGCATAGTGGCATATGCCTGTAATCCCAGCTACCAGGCAGTCTGAGAAGGGAGAATCGCTTAAACTCGTGAGGCAGAGGATGCAGTGAGCTGAGATCATGCCTCTGCACTCCAACCTGGGCAACAGAGTGAGACACCATCTAAAAAAAAAAAAAACAGAACAAAACTATTCAAAATTGCTGCACCCAGCATCAAAATTATACCTTCTTCCTCCCTTCCCCATCCAAATGTTTAGTGTCTTAATATTTCAGTCTTATTTAGCTGTAACTAAAGAAGGCAATTCCAAAAAATCACACCAAGGATTACATCAGTAGTTCTCCATCTTGTCCCAAACCAGCATGCCTGGAAGCTAAGACACATGGAATAGTGGGGAAAAGGAGGAGAAAAGGGGGAGAAAAGGGGGAGAAAAGGGGGAGAAAAGGGGGACTGTTTCAGAATTTTAAGGAGGATGAAGCATGTAGTTTGAAAGAATCCTCAATTTCGATATGTAGTCTTTGAGTGACCTCTTTGAGAGTCATTTGATTAGCTATCTATTAATTTCATAGTCAATTTTCCAGGGGTATTTGTATGTCAATGGGGCAATTTTTTAAACCAAAACTGAATCTTGGCTGGGCCCAGTAACTCATGCCTGTAATCCCAGCACTTTGGGAGGCCGAGGTGGGTGGATCGCGAGGTCAAGAGATCGAGACCATCCTGGCCTACATGGTGAAACCCCATTTCTACTAAAAATACAAAAATTAGCTGGGTGTGGTGGCGCGCACCTGTAGTCCCAGCTACTTAGGAGGCTGAGGCAGAAGAATTGCTTGAACCCAAGAGGTGGAGGTTGCAGTTAGATGAGATCTTGCCACTGCACTCCAGCCTGGGTGACAGAGCGAGACGCAATCTCAAAAAACAAACAAACAAACATATAAACAACTGAATCTCTAATTATGTAACTACAGCTACATTGCTGGTCAGGAAGATATTTTGGAAGAAGGGAGCCTAGCTGGGTTTCCTCCAAATACACCAGTGAGTAACTATCTCACCTAATATTGGGCTTGCTGTTCTGCTCAAAACTTTGTGAAAGATTTGCTAAAAATCCTGTAGAACCTTCCCAGTAGGTCACTTGAAATTCCACTTATTAGGTTGGTCTTGCCAAAGTAAGGCAAGAGAGGAAAACTATGCATTCCATCACCTCTTTGTTTTTAACACAGTATTGACTCTTGAAACCCAGAGGAATGCTAACTTCCATAAGTTTCTCTCCTCAGAATGATATTTTAAGTCTGGAATGCTAAGAACTAACAACCTTCATTCTGCCCTTGTGGACAGGACATTCGTGGCTAGTTTACCTGACCTAGAATAGCCAGCTCTGTTTTTCTGATGAAAATCTTGGAAACCAATGTGGAAAATATAATGACAGTAGCCTCAGAAAACAAGGAAATATCCACCCACAAATACTCTTTAGAGCCCACAATATAGCAAATGCTTTGCCTTCATTTGAATGGTCACTTTACTTTCTCTAGGATACCTAAAAAATACCAATTTCTTAGCCCCTCTAACTGAAAATGAACTCCACTCTCAATATTGATCTACTCATTATACCCTAACCCAATCTCCAAATGTTTTTGTTGTCACCAAAACCAGAGTAACATCACTTTTACAAAAGCCAAATACCACCCCTAAAAGTGAACTACAAAGACATTGTCACCAAACAAATGTTTTGGTTTAGAACAATTAGACTTGGGGTCAGACTAACCTAAATAATCTTCCACAGAGTGAAAATATAATAGTCTAAAAGGCTAATCACATTTTTTATGAAATTCATTGCAGAAAAGCTGAATGTTGATTCCAGGCATTAAAATTACAGTCTAAGATCTAAAAGATGAATCTGACGTCCTTTCACCAAGAAAAGCTACCGTCACTTATTAGAAATCGACATGCTGACCAAAGCCTCAGAGTGAAATTCACTTGAAATTCTGGTACCCTTAAAAACTGTAGCCTTGAACTATCTGCTAGGAAGTTAACAAATATCTTACAGCAGTTTTTGTTTTAACAAGTCTCGTTGGTTGCAATTAACAGGAGCCTACTTGAACCATCTTAGTGAAAACAGGGGTTATTAAGGCAATCTCATGGATCCCAAGAGCAGGGAGAACAGGCCTAGAAGGAGCAGGGCGACACAGGAGAAAATTCTCCAGAACTAAGGCAGCAATTCATTTTCTTTCTCTCTCTCTCTCCCCCGCTTCATTCTGTCTCTCTCTTTCCCTGTGTGTTTCTATCTCTCCCTCCCTGTCCCTCCCTTCTCTGTTTCTGAGGATTTGCCTCCTTTTAACTCTCAACAGAAGCACTTTCTTGCTTCTCCCAGCCCAAGCTACAAAAGACCACCTCTCAAACAGCACAGTCTGACCAGAAGTTCAGTGGCAAGCTTCCGAAAGACAATTGGATTGGCCCATCCTGGGTGTGCTCTCTCTCTCTGAGTCAGTTGAGGTACATAGGGTCAGGGTCTTATACGATAAACATCAACATCTTGGGCTCCACTCCCAGAGGGGAGGAGGCAAGTCGCCTAGAAAAGAGAGTCCTTTTTGGCTGGGAAAATATTAATTATCCGTCTTCCTGAAAAAATATTTTTTAAATGTAAAGGTCAACAAATTGACAAATGGAAAAACTATTAGCCTAAACCTTTGGGAATTCTTTCCCTAGTTGTTTTCCACTAACATGAGAACTTATAAAATATCCTTTAGTGCTCTTTCTTGGGGGAAAAAACAAATATATACATATAAACAATAAAAAGACTCTTTTTTGGTCTGCTAGACTGAGAAGGTTCAGGAGACTCAGGCTCCACCACTAACTAGCAATGAGTAACTTTACTCCCTTCTCCACTGCTTTGGGGCTTTCCTTGCCCTATGCCAAACTCTAAGGCCCTTTCCAGCTCTGACGTTCTAATTCTTCGGAGGTTTTAACATCTGCTGTCATGATAACTATGTAGAAAAAAGGCCATCTGACTTGCACAGTGCCTTTTGGAGAAATATTTATTCAACGCAGAGATCAGCCAGGTCTATGTCTTGTTTGATTTTGTGCTTAGTGCTTTGGAACTCTGGAGATTAGAATTCATGGGGTAAATTGCTTGCTGTTGGTAGCTTTATTCACTCTTTTAAACTGTTTGGGTGCCAATTATGGAAGTCTCTAAAGGAATTGGAATATTAAAAGTGAATTAATTTACCTTATATTCACCAACAAAATTAACCTCCAGGGCATTCAAACATACTCCTGCTAAATGGGGCATTTTTTTGTGTGTCACTTAAATTCCAATGCGCATTCAAAATAATCCCCATGATAGTGCCCTAGGCCTTATTAAGTTCTGCTCTGGGAATTCATGCAAGAGTGATAGTGGAAGAGCATTAAACATAGAAAGAGAGCATCTTGAAGCCTGCTAACTCATTTCCTCTGATGCAAATCAATAAGCTTTTGACCACCACCACCAACATTATCAAAAAGCAGTTGCTCAGCAGGCCAGCCACACCTTCGACATCACATCCTTTCCCATTAGAACTGCTGAGTATGGCTTTTGAACTGGGCTGGATCAATCAGATAGGAAAGAAGATATCTCTATCACAAGTTTCCGCTCTAAAAGGAAAGTGGGTGCCTATTTTACAAGACTGATAATAAATCAGGGAAGTTTGACATCCACCAGGCCAACCATACTTTCTTTTCTTGAATATGTTTTCAATACTTTGAATACATTTTCAATACTTCAATACTTTGCTATTGAAGATACTTACAAAAGTCAATTAGGGATTTCACTACTAGAAATATTATCTTACAAATGGCCTCTCACCCAAAGAAATACTATGACTACCAAGAAAAAGCAAGGCTAGTCATATGTTCCATTGTAATGTATACAACTTATTGAGCACACATACCTGTCACATAATAAGTGACCAATAGATGTATGTTTTTCCTTCTTTTCTTCAGTTGAATCAAATGTGCCAAAAAAAAAAAAAAAGAGAGAGGGAGAGAGAGAAAGAAAGATGCTGGGCTGGGCACGGTGACTCACGCCTGTAATCCCAGCACTTTGGGAGGCCAAGGGGGCAGATCACCTGAGGTTAGGAGTTTGCGACCAGCCTGACCAACATGCAGAAACCCCGTCTCTACTAAAAATACAAAATTAGCCGGGGCATGCCTGTAATCCCAGCTACTCTGGAGGCTGAGGCAGGAGAATCGCTTGAACCTGGGAGGCAGAGGTTGCGGTGAGCCAAGATCATGCCATTACACTCCAGCCTGGGCAACAAGAGCAAAACTCCGTCTCAAAAAAAAAAAAAAAAAAAAGAAAGACAGATGCCTGAAAAATTTTAAAAATATGTTCATATGACTTATTTTTTATTCAATTTAATTATAAATTTTCCTCATGATCTCAAAGTATTTTTCACATTTATTATTGATCCTTTACAATCACTATGTGACACAAACAGAACTAAATAATTTTAAACTTTATCTTTAATAAAAAGTAATTTAACCAATGAAAGGACAAGACAGCCAGATGTGGTGGCTCACGCCTGTAATACCAACACTTTGGGAGGCTGAGGCAGGTGGATCACTTGAGGCTTGAGGTCAGGAGTTCAAGAACAGCCTGGCCAACATGATGAAACCCCATCTCTACTAAAATTACAAAAATTAGCTGGGCATGGTGGTGCACACCTGTAATCCCAGCTACTTGGGAGGCTGAGGCAGGAGAATCACTTGAAGCCAGGTGTGGGGGGAAGGTGGAGGTTGCAGTGAGCTGAGATCATGCCACTGCACTCCAGCCTGGGTGACACAGCAAGACTCCATCTCAGAATCTCTCACACTGGTTTATTACCCAAGTGATAATCCCTCATTAAGAATCCTATACCAGGCTGGGTGCCGTGGCTCACACCTGTAATCTCAGTACTTTGGGAGGCTGAGGCGGGCAGATCACAAGGTCAGGAGATCGAGACTATCCTGTCTAACATGGTGAAACCCTGTCTTCACTAAAAATACAAAAGAAACAAAAATTAGCCAGGTGTGGTGGCGGGCGCCTGTACTCCCAGCTACTCGGGAGGCTGAGGCGGGAGAATGGTGTGAACCCGGGAGAATGGCGTGAACCCGGGAGAATGGCGGAGCTTGCAGTGAGCCAAGATAGTGCCACTGCCCTCCAGCCTGAGTGGCAGAGCGAGACTCCATCTCAAAAAAAAAAAAAAAAAAGAATCCTATACCAGGGCTGGGCACGGTGGCTCACACTTGTTATCTCAGCACTTTAGGAGGCCAAGGCAGGCGGATCATGAGGTCAGGAGATCAAGGCAATCCTGGCTAACATGGTGAAACCCCATCTCTACTAAAAATACAAAAATTAGCTGGCCATGGTGGCAGGCACCTGTAGTCCCAGCTACTTGGGAAGCTGCGGCAGGAGACTCGCTTGAACCTGGGAGGCAGAGGTTGCAGTGAGTCGAGATCACGCCATTGCACTCCAGCCTGGGTGACAGAGTGAGACTCCATCTCAAAAAAAAAAAAAAAAAAAGAATCCTGTACCAATAAGCCTGTGTAACATGCTGTATGATTTTCCTTAAAGGACTTGTTTATATTCTTTAAATGATAAATTACCAATATCATACAAAAGAAAGAAAAATTAATAGTCAATTCGACTTTCTCCTTCTTTCTCTCTCTTTGTGTATGTATACATAAATATATATACATACATACACATACATACTAGCTGATCATATCCCAGAATTACTTAACAGAAGAATTCCAATTCTGAAAATCTGGTAAGTTTAAATACAAAAAATGAACAAGATTCTACCAAAGGTGTGCCATTCATATTGCAATCCCATCTCAGGACTAGGCCCCTCATGACAAACTCTGATGGAGTTTTTCAGCTTGAGCAGAAATAATATAGAATTTTCATAGCTTCAGATGCAGTAAAGCAATATCTAGAAGACGAAAAACTGTTATAGCTCCTAATTGCATTCAGGGGTCATTTGGAGAACTCAGCAAGTCTAGAATAATGAGCAGGAGGGTGATTTTTACTCTGTAGTTTATAACAGACTATTATCATTGTTATCTTTTACATTTTTGCCACACACCCATCACATGAAATCTGATTCGTAGCAGTAACCAGCATTGTTATCATGTTCCCTGGAGATGCCATTTAACCGCAACCCTACCTAGTGCCAAAGCCTGAGTATGAAAATGAATAAGCCTTTCAGTAAGAACCTCCCCCTTTCCATTCAGGCCTCCCTACGCTCACTTTCCTTATGCTGCAGTTTACATCAGATATGGACCCAGTATTCTTAAACTTTGATGAACTGGTACGCACCAATGAACTTGAACTCGTGACGATGCAGTGGAAGACGAGGAGATTCATACTTTCCTTCAGCCATCCACTAAAACTGCCCTCTGGTCTCTTTCCCACTCCTTATAGATGTGTGTGTGTGTGTGTGTGTGTGTGTGTGTGTGGCCTTCATTTTTTTCATTTTTTTCCTTTTAAAATTTTCTTCATTTTTTTTCTTTTTAAAACTTTGATTGAATATTCAGATTCCATTTTCTAAAAAACATATGTGCATGTATCAGGTCATATAAAAGGTCAAATGGTACCAAAAATCTTATAATAAAGAATAGCAGTCTCCTGTCTCATTTCTGCCCAGAGGCAACCACTTTCTACCCTTTTAACTATTTCTTCTGTTTCTTACCTCATATTTCTAGATAATTCTCTTCTACTGTTATTTCTTTCTCTCTTTCTTTTGATTTATTTATTTATTCATTTATTTATTTATTTATTTTGAGATGGAGTCTCGCTCTGTCACCCAGGACAGAGTGCAGTGGCACTCCCTTGGCTCACTGCAAACTCCGTCTCCAGGTTCAAGTGATTCTCTTGCCTCAGCCTCCCTGGGATTATAGGCATGCACCACCACACCCAGCTAGTTTTTGTATTTTTAGCAGAGACAGGGTTTCACTATGTTGGTCAGGCTGGTTTCAAACTCGTGACCTCAAATGATCCACCCACTTTGGCCTCCCAAAGTGCTGGGATTATAAGCGTTTGAGCCACCATGCTTGGCCCTCTTATACTGTTATTTCTTAATTTAGTTTTTCTCCTCTGTATTTGATCTATTGCCTTCTTATGGGACAACATGGAATTTAATACTCTTACATAAACTCCTCACCAAGTACATACATATATTTCCCATTTTCCCAATATTGAGTTTTTTATTAAATCACTTGTTGGTATTTATGTTATTCTAACTGTATGAATATAATTCATAGATAAGACACATAATGTACTTTGATTGCATTTTCTTTCATATAAAACTTCTGTTTTTTCTTGAGCTAATGATTGTCATTACTTTGATTTTCTGTGTACCTATCACTAATCCATGCCCAACTTTCTGTTAGTTATGAAACTTTTTCAATTAATCAAATACACCATGTAGTCTGTATTAGTCAGGGTTCCCTAGAGGGACAGAATATATATATATATATATATATATTACATAAAATATATTAAGTATTAATTTACATGATGACAAGGTCCCACAATAGGCTGTCTGCAAGCTTGAGGAGCAAGGAGAGCGTCTGAGTCTCAAAACTGAAGAACTTGGAGTCCCATGTTCGAGGGCAGGAAACATCCAGCATGGGAGAAAGGTGTGGGCTGCGATGCTATGCCCGTCTTGCCTTTTCATTTTTTTCTGCTGTTTATATTCGCTGGCAGCTAATTAGATTGTGCCCACCAGATTAAGGTTGAGTCTGCCTTCCCCAGCCCACTGACTCAAATGTTAATCCCCTTTGGCAACACCCTCACAGACACACCCAGGATCAATGCTTTGCATCCTTCAATTCAATCAAGTTGTTATTACCCATTTCAATTCAATCAAGTTGTTATTACCCATCACATAGTCCGTAAATTCCTTCCTCCTTCTCCCTTGAATCAACCCCTTTTGAAGCCCTCTTCCCTCTAGCTCCAATCTGAACCATTTCCTCTTGAGGCCTACTACAAAACTGCCATCCTGAGACTTTCCATCACCATCATTCTGAAAATGCCCTTTACTTTTCTTCTGTGTTGAATCCCATTTTTTTTTCTGAATCTCATGTGTTCTTTTTATTAGTTGTATTACCTATTTTTAATGCAGCCTTTATTCCAGTAAGTTTCTCAGAGAGGTTGCATGGTAGGTAAATGACACATGCAGGTCTAAAATGTTTTTCTCTATCTACATACTTGATTGATAGTTTGGTTGGGTATAGATATCTAATCTGGAAAAAGGTTTTATGCAGAAATTTGAAAGGATTGCACCATTGATTTCTGGTTTACAATGTTGCTATTGAGAAGTCTTAAAATAATCTAACCTTCAATCCTTTCTGTGACTTTTGTTCCCTTTTCACCGGAAAGTCTAGATTTCCTATTTGACACTAAAGTTCAGAAATGTTACAATGATATGGGTTTTTAAAAAAATTTACAGTTCTAAAACCTTTGAGAAATATGGGACTATGTAAAAAGACCAAACCTATGATTGAATGGAGTACCTGAAAGAGACAGGGAGAATGGAACCAAATTGGAAAACACACTTCAGGATATTATCCAGGAGAACATCTCCAACCTAGCAAGACAGGCCAACATTCAAATTCAGGAAACACAGAAAACACCACTAAGATACTCCATGAGAAGATCAACTCCAAGACACATAATTGTCACATTCTCCAAAGTCGAAATGAAGGAATAAATGGTAAGGGCAGCCACAGAGAAGGGCCAGATCACCTACCAGGGGAAGCCCATCAGACTGACAGTGGACCTCTCAGCGAAACACTACAAACCAGAAGAGAGTGGAGGCTAATATTTAACATTCTTAAAGAAAAGAATTTTCTTTTTTCTTTTTTTTTTTTAATTATACTTCAAGTTTTAGGGTACATGTGCACATTGTGCAGGTTAGTTACATATGTATACATGTGCCATGCTGGTGCACTGCACCCACTAACTGGTCATAAGAAAAGAATTTTCAACCCAGAATTTTATATCCAGCCAAACTAAGCTTCATAAGTGTAGGAGAAATAAAATCCTTTCCAGACAAGCAAATGCAGAGGGATTATGTCACCACCAGACCTGCCTTGCAAGAGCTCCTGAAAGAAGCACTAAATATGGAAAGAAAAAGCTGCTACCAGCCACTGCAGAAACACACCAAAATATAAAGACCAATGACACTACGAAGAAAATGCATCAACTAGCGTGCAAAATAACCAGATGTCATCATGATGACAAGATCAGATTCATACATAACAATATTAACCTTAAATGTAAATGGGCTAAATGCCCCAATTAAAAGACACAGACTGGTAAATTGGGTAAACAGTCAAGACCCATCAGTGTGCTGTATTCAGGAGACCCAGCTCACATGCAAAGACACATTTAAGCTCAAAATAAAGGGATGGGAAAAAAAACTTACCAAGCAAATGGAAAGCAAAAAGAAAAAAAAGGCAGTGGTTGCAATCCTAGCCTCTGAAAAAAGAGACTTTAAACCAACAAAGATAAAAAAAGACAAAGAAGGGCATTACATAATGGTAAAGGGATCAATTAAACAAGAAGAGCTAACTATCCTAAATATATGTGCACTCAATACAGGAGCACTAAGATTCAAAAAACAAGTTATTAGAGACCTACAAAAAGATTTAGAATCACACACAATAATAATGGGAGACTTTACCACCCCACTGTCAATATTAGACAGATCAACGAGACAGAAAATTAACAAGGATATTCAGGACTTAAACTCAGCTCTGGATCAAGAGGATCTAATGGACATCTACAGAACTCTCCACAATAAAATATACCTTCAACAGAATATACATTCTTCTGAGTAGCTACATGGCACTTATTCTAAAATTGACCACATAATTGAAAGTAAAACATTCCTCAGCCAATGCAAAAGAACAGAAATCATAACAAACAGTCTCTCGGACAACAGTGCAATCAAATTAGAACTCAGTGCAATCAGAACAGTGCATCAAATTAGAAACTCACTCAAAACCACACAACTACATGGAAATTGAACAGCCTGCTCCTGAATGACTACTGGGTAAATAATGAAATTAAGTCAGAAATCAAGAAGTTATTTGCAACCAATGAGAACAGAGAGACAATGTACCAGAATCTCTGGGACACAGCTAAAGCAGTGTTCAGAGGGAAATTTATAGCACTAAATGCCCATATCAGAAAGCTAGAAAGATTTCAAACTGACACCCTAACATCACAATTAAAAGAGCTATAGAAGAAAGAGCAAACAAATCCAAAAGCTAGCAGAAGACAAGAAATAACTAATATCGGAGCATAACTGAAGGAGATAGAGACATGAAAAACCACTCATGAAATCAGTGAATCTGGCCTGATTCTGATGTGTAAGAAGAGTTTGGGGCTGGGCGCTTTGGCTCACACCTGTAATCCCAGCGCTTTGGGAGGCAGAGGCAGGCAGATCATGAGGTCAGGAGATCGAGACCATCCTGGCCAACATGGTGAAACTCTGTCTCTACTAAAAATACAAAAATTATCTGGGCATGGTGGTGCGTGCCTGTAATCCCAGCTACTTGGGAGGCTGAGGCAGGAAAATCACTTGAACCAGGGTGTCAGAGGTTGCAGTGAGCTGAGATCGTGCCACTGCACTCCAGCCTGGTGACAGAGTGAGACTCCATCAAAAAAAATTAAATAAATAAATAAGTCTATGAAACCAGAAGCTGGTTTTTTGAAAAGATTAACAAAATAGATAGACTGCTAGTTAGATTAATAAAGAAGAAAAGAGACAAGAATCAAATAGACACAATAAAAAATGACAAAGTGGTCACTACTGACCCCAGAGAAATACAAACTACCATTAGAGAATACTATAAACACCTCTACGCAAATAAACTAGAAAACCCAGAAGAAATGGATAAATTCCTGGACACATACACCCACCCAAGACTAAACCAGGAAGAAGCTGAATTCCTGAATAGAGCAATAACAAGTTCTGAAATTAAGGCAGTAATAGCCTACCAACCAAAAAGAGCCCAGGACCAGACAGAGTCACTGCTGAATTCTACCAAAGATACAAAGAGTCGCTGGTACCATTCCTTGTGAAATTATTCCAAACAATTGAAAAGGAGGCTCCTTCCTAACTCATTTTATGAGGCCAGCATCATCCTGATACCAAAACCTGGCAGAGGCAGAACAAAAAAAGAAATCTTCAGGCCAATATCCCTGATGAACATCTATGCAAACATCCTCAATAAAATACTGGCAAACCAAATCCAGCAACACATCAAAAAGCTTATCCACCATGATCAAGTCAGCATCATCCCTGGGATACAAGGCTGGTTCAACATAGCAAATCAATAAATGTAATCCATCACATAACAGAACCAATGACAAAAACCACATGGTCATCTCAATAGATGCAGAAAAGGCCTCTGATAAAATTCAACATCCCTTCATGTTAAAAACTCTCAATAAACTAGGTACTGATGGTATGTATCTCAAAATAATAAGAGCTATTTATGACACACCCACAGCCAATATCATACTAAATGGGGAAAAACTGGAGGCATTCCCTTTGAAAACTGGTGCAAGACAAGGATGTCCTCTCTCACTACTCCTATTCAACGTAGTATTGGAAGTTCTGGCCAGGGCAATCAGGCAAGAGAAAGAAATAAAGGGTATTCAAATAGGAGGAGAGGAAGCCAAATTGTCTCTGATGGCAGGTGACATTCTATATTTAGAAAACCCCATCATCTCAGCCCCAAAACTCCTTAAGCTGATACGCAACTTCAGCAGTCTCAAGATACAAAATTGATGTGCAAAAATCACAAGCATTCCTATACACCAACAACAGACAAGCAGAGAGCCAAATCATGAATGAACTCTCATTCACAATTGCTACAAAGAGAATAAAACACCTAGGAATACAGCTAACAAGGGATGTTAAGGACCTCTTCAAGGAGAACTACAAACCACTGCTCAAGGAAATAAGAGAAAACACAAACAAATGGAAAAACATTCCATCCTCATGAATAAAAAGAATCAGTATCTTGAAAATGGCCATGCTGCCCAAAGTAATTTATAGCTTCAATGCTATTCTCATCAAGATATTATTCACAGAATTAGAAAAAACTACTTTAAATTTCACAGGGAACCATAAAAGAGCCCCTATAGCCAAGATAATCCTAAGCAAAACGAACAAAGCTAGACGCATCATGCTACCTGACTTCAAACTATACTACAAGGCCACAGTAACCAAAACAGCATAGTAACCAAAACAGATATAGAGACCAATGGAACAGAACAAAGACCTCAGAAATAACACCACACATCTACAACCATGTGATCTTTGACAAGCTGGACAAAAACAAGCAAGGGGGAAAGAATTCCCTATTAATAAATGGTGCTGGGAAAAGTGGCTAGCCATATGCAGAAAACTGAAACTGGACCCCTTCCTTATATCATATAAAAAAATTAACTCAAGATGGATTAAAGACTTAAACATAAGACCTAAAACCATAAAAACCCTAGAAGAAAACCTAGGCAATACCATGCAGGACATAGGCAAGGACAAAGACTTCATGAGAAAATGCCAAAAGCAATTGCAACAAAAGTCAAATTGACAAATGGGATGTAATTAAACTAAAGAGCTTTCGCACAGCAAAAGAAACTATCATCAGAGTGAACAGGCAACCTACAGAATGGGAGAACATTTTTTGCAATTTACCCATCTGACAAAGGTCTAATATCTGGAATTTACAAGGAACTTAAACAAATTTACAAGAAAAAAAAGCACCATCAAAAAGTGGGCAAAGGATATGAACAGCTCTAAAAATAAAACATTTATTAGACCAACAGACATGAAAAAAAGCTCAACATCACTGATCATTAGAGAAATGAGAATCAAAACCACAATGAGATACCATCTCACCCCAGTCAGAATGGAAATTATTAAAAAGTCAAAAAACAATAGATACTGGCAAGGCTGTGGAGAAACAGGAATGCTATTATATGGTTGGTGGGGATGTAAATTAGTTCAACCACTGTGGATGACAGTGTGGCAATTCCTCAAGGATCTAGAACCAGAAATACCATTTGATGCAGCAATCTCATTACTAGTTATGTACCCAAAGGAATATAAACCATTCTAATCATTCTACTATAAAGACACATGCATGTATGTTTATTGCAGCACTATTTACAATAGCAAAGACGTGGAACCAACCCAAATGCCCATGAATGACAGACTGGATAAAGCAAATGTGGTATACATACACCACGGAATACTATGCAGCCATAAAAAGGAATGAGATCATTTCCTTTGCAGGGACATGGATGAAGCTGGAAGCCATCATCCTTAGCAAACTAACACAGGAACAGAAAACCAAACACCACATGTTCTCACTCATAAGTGGGAATTGAACAGTGGGAACACATGAACACAGGGAGGGGAACGTCACATATCAGGGTCAGTCGGTGGGTGGGGGGCGAGGGGAGGAAGAGCATTAGGACAAATACCTAACACATATGGGGCTTAAAACCTAGATGACTGGTTGATAGGTGCAGCAAATCACTATGGCACACATATATCTATGTGACAAACCTACACATTCTGCACTTGTATCCCAGAACTTAAAATAAAATAATAATAAATTTAAAAAATAAAAATAAAAACAGTTGAAAAAAAATTTACTGTTCTGGGAACTTGGTAGACCCTTTCAACCTAGAGACTTGTATCTTTCAGTTGTGGAAAGTTCTCTCATATTATTTCTTTGATAATCCCTTCTTCTTCATTTTCTGTTCTCTTCTTGTGACATTTATTTTGGTTGAGGCTAGATCTTGTGGATGAATACTCTAATCATTTTATCTTTTCCTTCTCATTTTTTATCACTTCTTTTAGGTTTCTTCAACTTTATCTTCCAATCCTTATTTTGAATGTTTTTACTTCTGCTCTCATACTTTAACTTACAAACAAGTTTCCTTGTTCCTTAAAGTTCTCATAATGCATTTTCTTCTTTATTTTTCTGAGGATTTTTTTTCCTGAAAGTTTCTACTTGCTAAATTCTCTTTTCAAAAAATATTTGTTGGATTTAGTCTCTTTTTTATATTAGAAGAATCTGGTAAGCCTTCATTCTCTGTTTATATTTAAACAAGGCACTAAAGAGCTGATAAAAAGCATTTTGGGTAATTCATATGTTTGGTCAGAGTTTGATAACTGCTTGGCCTTACTGTAGTATGACCAGGAATATTTACTGGGTATGCCAACTGTTAGTGCCTGTAGGTTTTTTTTTCCTAAGCCAGTCAGATTTTCCAGATAAATCCCTCTATTGCCTGCCTGGCTGCAAGTGTTCTATCCGCCATGTAAGGAAAGGAAACTCAGGTTCACACTCCTCAGGCCGCAGATCGTCATTAATCCCTCAACTTTCAATACTGTTTCTCACACATATTCTCATATGCGTCTTGGGTTATTTAATCCCAAACCCTGCTGGTTAAACCTCTTTAAAAGGTATGCTTTATTTCAACTTTCTGCCAGAGGAGATGGAGGAGTCACAGCTGAACTGATTTGAGGAGGAATCAGGAAATCTAATTCTTCCTTTATAGAACCCAATTTTCAGCTCCACTCATACCCACTTCCAGAGTATCTTGCGTCCACTTCCTGAGTTTTTCTTTTTTTTTTTTTTTTTTTTGAGACGGAGTCTCGCTCTGTCGCCCAGGCTGGAGTGCAGTGGCGGGATCTCGGCTCACTGCAAGCTCCGCCTCCCGGGTTCACGCCATTCTCCCGCCTCAGCCTCCCCAGTAGCTGGGACTACAGGCGCCCGCCACCACACCTGGCTAATTTTTTTGTATTTTCAGTACAGAAGGGGTTTCACCGTGTTAACCAGGATGGTCTCGATCTCCTGACCTCGTGATCTGCCCATCTCGACCTCCCAAAGGGCTGGGATTACAGGCGTGAACCACCGCGCTGACCCAATTCCTGAGTTTTTCTTAGGTTCATCAGCAAGAATCCACTTGTTTCCTTTCATCCCACGTCCTACAAGTGCACTTAATTTTTTGGCTTTCCCTCCTTTACTAAGTCATAATGTCTTTTAAATTTTGATGAAATCTCTTTTACACTTCACATCTTGTTTCTCTGTTGGATGAGTTTAAATCTTTGTCACTTCTTTACTGTCAATTTAGTTGAGTTGGGGGAGATGATTCATGTGTTTCACCCACCATGTTGACTGCAGATGCCTTGGTCCTCTTTCCGCCATGCTTTGTTAATGACTAATATTCTCTCAGTATGAGTATATGCCAGGGGATAATAAGAAATACAAGAAGGTATAATATATATATAATTACTTTATACATATACATTAGAAAACCCTTAAACAAATTAACACAAATTTTAAAAATATCATAAAGTCCTAATTAGGTACTATATATGATTAAGTGAAAGGAAGTGATATATAGCTAACCACTGCAGGTATTCAAAATTGAGAAAAATCTCCTTCACCAAGAAAGTGAAGGCAGGTTTCACTAAACATGTAGGACTTAAATTTCACAGAATTTGCAAAACTTTTGAGAGAAGGGAATTCCAGGCGAGAATATAGAAAACATAGAGAAGGCATGGGGAATGAGAAATGAATTTGGTAAGAACAGAAGACTCATGCAAGGAAACTATAACTTGGTTATCATCAATTTCACCACTTAGGTGAAAAATATGCTAAGAAAAATATAAATAATAATTTTTAAAAAGCATTGTGCTGAGACTCCAGGTTGTGGTCCTCGCTGGACCTTGAACTTAATATATAATTAGGATGAGTCACTTACTGCCTCACATTCAACTTCCTACCCATAGTTTGTGAATTCAATATAACAGGACTGCCCTTTCTTCTTTATAGTGGAACTCCCAGGTACAACAATTAGCCTCTGCTAGAAGAATTAGCAGATGAAGGAGAAGATTCTATAATACCTGCTTTCTGAATACTGTATACAGAAGATTTGTGTATCAACATGGCTAAAAGTTAAAAAAAACAAAAACTAAAACTAAAAGCAGGTAGGTGGACTACAACTACAAAGACTATGGTAATGAACTTTTAGAAAGAGAGAAACTGAACACAGTATAAAAGATTCTCTGGGACAGCAAATATGCTGAAGGTTGTACCTACATAAGAGTTCAGAGTATAGTATTTGCACTCCTGTGTCTATTGCAGCACTATTCGCAATAACCAAGATATGGAATCAACTTAAGCGTCTATCAACACATGAATGCATAAAGAAAATGTAGAAATATATATATATATATATATACAATGAAATATTATTCATCCATATAAAATAATGAAATCCTGTCATTTGCAGCAACGTCGAGGGAACTGTAGGACATTATGTTAAGTGAAATAAGCCAGGCACAGAAAGATAAATATCACATGCTCTCATACATTGTGGGACCTAAAAAAAAAGCTGATCTCATGGAGGTAGAGGGTAAAATGGTGATTACCAGAGTGTGGAAAGGGTTGGGGGCACAGTGGAATGAAAAGAAGTTGGTTAATTGGTTTCAAAAATACAGTTACAAGAAATAAGGTGTTTAACAGCACAGGAAGGTGTCTATAGTCAACAATAATTTATCGTGTATTTCAAAATAGCTAGTAGAGAAGATTTGGAATGCTCCCAATGCAAATAAATAATAAATGTTTGAGGTGATAGATATCCCAATTACCTTGATTTGATTATTGCACATTGTATGCATGTATCAAAGTATCACATATAACCCCACAAATTTGTACAATTATTATGTATCAATAAAAAAGAGTTCAGAATATAACTTAGCACAGCATTAATGCATACTATCAAAAGAAGAAAAAGAAACAGGAAGAAACAATTCAATCTGGAACACTGTACATTTATAAGAAACTAAAATATAATTAATTTATTATCAGAAATGGCTTATAGCTATTTAGTGGGAGAGAAAGATTTGTAAATATATGAAATTATAAATACTGTTTATGGCATGCCAATATCTTCCAAAATGTACTAAAATCTGGATAACCAATCTGAACACTAGTAACTTTTGAGTTTTGTTCCTTTTTTTTTCTTTATTCTTCCTCCTACCCCAGACCCTTCCAGGACCCTTCAATATTCACAGGTTAATATTCCTCCTTCCATTTTCTTTTAGTTTTCTTGTTTATTTTGTTTTGAAAGATACCAAGAAATCCTTTGTATCAAACTCCCACGGCACCTCCCCAAATGGATGGATACTTGCCTTTTCCTTGGAAATGCTGAGAATAGCTAGATGTTTCCCTAGTGACCTTGCAAAGAAGCTGCCTTTTTCAGCAAGGTGTAAGAAGGACCTTGCTTCTATGAAGTGACCGACTGCCCTATCCCTGCTGAGACTCGCTACAGGAGCACAGCTCTTCCACTAGCAGCAACAGATGCAGTTGCCAAAGGCAGGCTCAATGCCGCACAGTGGCCAGAGAGAGGTCCAAGAAAGCCAAATTTGAAGTCACTTTCTTCACATCTGAAGAGAAACTGTGTTCCTAAATTACATCTTTATTTACAGAAAAAGCCAACTGTCTGTAATTACTGTCAGTGCATTTTTCATGTGTGTTGTGCTGGATGCCTTCTACTTGCCCTTCCAGATCCACTCTCCATTGTACTCTGTGCCTTGCTAGGCTGACCTACGAGGACCACATAAACAAGACTACCCTGCCCTCTGGCCTCCCACTGGGTTTTGGCCAGTGAGAGCGTTGGCAGGATATCAGAGGGTGGGACGAGAGAGAGAGAGAGAGAGAGAGAGAGAGAGAGAGAAGGTGTGTAGTCTTCTGGTCTCCTCCCTGTGAGGTGGCCCTGGGTTGGACATGTCCTTTCATCTAGGGTCAGTGTGCCTCTCCCAGTGACCTTCTCCACACCATTTTTTGTTCAGGCCCAGGAACTGCTCCTTCTTCTGACCCTTCCAGATCTAGGTGTAGGGACACTTCACACTTTATCCACAGCCCGTAGCCTCAGGTGGCTGCATGGTATCTTGTGATTCCATTATGCTCCATCCCCCACCGCACACACACCTTTACAAACAGTCTTTTTGTAAACAAACTCTCCTGGAATCTTCTTACTTTGCGTCTGCCATCTGTTTTTGGCTAGAAACTGACAGAGGTAATCACTCAAGAAACAAATCTATTCTTTTATTTATTTATTTATTCATTGATTTATTTTTTGAGATGGAGTCTTGCTCTGTCACCCAGGCTGGAGTGCCGTGGTGCAATCTTGGCTCACTGTAAGCTCCGCCTCCCGGTTCACGCCATTCTCCTCCCTCAGCCTCCCAAGTAGCTGGGACTACAGGCACCCGCCACCATGCCCCACAATTTTTTTTTTTTTTTTTGTATTTTTAGTAGAGACGGGGTTTCACCATGTTAGCCAGGATGGTCTCAATCTCCTGACCTCGCGATCCGCCCACCTTGGCCTCCCAAAGTGCTGGGATTACAGGCGTGAGCCACTGCACCCGGCCACAAATCTATTCCTGATAAAAGATTTTATTTAAAACGTTTATACTTGAAAAAATGTTAAAATATTATTAATATAGCAAGTAAAAACATTCCAGCTTTGAAGTCAGAGAAAGGTTAGTTCGAGTTTAAACAACTGAGGCTCTGAAAGTTTTGAGTATCTTGTCCAAGGACACACAGTTTATAAGAGGAATATCTGGAACTTGAACCATCTGAGCCTACCAACATACTTTTCAGCTACCCAGTCTTTAAGACCAAATTCAAGTTCATTGTCTGGATTAAGCTTCCTTCAGAATAATTAATCATTAGCTAATAAATATTTATATTATTATTATGATTGTTTTTATTAGCTAATATGAATGGAGAACTTGCCTTATAGGAACTCATTTATCTCAATTCATCATTTAAACTCATTTAAAATTATGTCACTTAATCTTCACACAAATTCTATGATGTAAATATCATTATCTTTATTTTCAGGTGGGACTTACTGCAGATATATTTTTTTCACACAGGATATAAGAATGGCTGCTTTTGATTTTCCATCAGTGTTATACTACCAGACTTCTAAAAGGAAAGTTACTTTGAGATTTTATAGAGTATCAAGATCAGAAGTCACTTCATTTGTTGCCAAATATAGTGACCACCTTGCCCAGAAATCCTCCCCAAGATGGTCATAAACAAGTACCATTGCATATATCTGTAACTTCATTAAAAAGGAAAACAAGGGCCATCATTCTGCTATCAGTACCATGAATTAATCACTAGCTTTAATTAAGAATCACATTGCAGACGCCTCTATAATTGGAGAGTTAATTTAATGAGCTATTACAAGTTAAAGTAATTTCCACCTCCTTGAACTTAACTGTGTTGAATGGAGTATTTTCAGGAAACCTTCATTACCTGCCCCATTATCCTAAGCCTTCCAGGCCATCTACTTTTGATCGTGTTTGACTACAACATAGGGAGCAAAATCCTGCAAGGGTTTGAAATCAGAAAGAGGATGACAGTATGTTCATGAAGCAGATATACTTTTGTTGCCCAAAGTTTACATATGTTAACAGATTTAAATTGATCTATGAACAATGTCAGTTGCCATTTCTTGATTATTCATATAAATTAAAGGATGGCTTAATTTAATTTGTACCATGTGTGCTCTCTGGAAATAAAGTTGCTAAAGATTTCAGTTCTTATTTTTCAAGAGATTGGAGAAGAAAGACTACCTACTATTTGCCAGCATTTAGCTATATTTCATAAGGGGCAGTTTATTTCGGAGCCTATAATCTAATCAAGAAAACCATGGATCTGATGTAACTTCCCCCTACTCAGCTCCAGTGCCTCTCCTAGAAAAGACCATAAACTGCAAACAAAAGAAATAAAGCTGTATAGGATTTCACCACCAGGCACAGTCCCAAATCAAGACATGCAATTTTAAGGGTCTTGACATCATGGCCAAAATAGACAAAGCAGATGTGGTTAGCTTGGTTGACCATGGAGTATTGGGAAAAAATGGCAGCAGCATACATTAACCCGTGTACCCAGAATCAAAGAACGAGGTGCGTCTGAAGACAAGAGAGAAGGATTTGTGATTCTTTACCAGTATTGGCTTGTATGTATGTGAAGACAAACCTATTCATTGAACACTATCACTAAATAGCTCTTTTTCAGCACCTCCATTTTTTGGGGAAAAAAAAAAAAGCCCAGGTGCAGTGCCTCACACCTGTAATCCCAGCACTTTGGGAGGCCAAGGGGAGCAGATCACTTGAGGTCAGAAGTTTGAGACCAGCCTGGCCAACATGGTGAAACCCTGTCTCTACTAAAAATACAAAAATTAGGTGGGCATGGTGGCGCACACCTGTAATCTCAGCTACTCAGGAGGCTGAGGCTGGAGAATCGCTTGAACCCGGGAGGCAGAGGTGGCAGTGATCTGAGATCATGCCGCTGTACTCCAGTCTGGGTGATAGAGCGAGACTCAGTGTCAAATATATATATATGATATATATATAATATATGTCATATATATATTATATATATATCATATATATGTAATATATATATTACATATAATATATATATGTAAATTACTGCAGTAAATTCTAGCACCTTTTTGATAGAGGGTCTCCAATACGAGAGCAAATAAGAAAAAGAGGAAAGTTTTTGACTTATCTCATATATAGCTCTATCAAGGCTTGGTTTCCGCAGTAAGAATGGGTAGGACCTAAAGTTCTTGCCTGAGTTTCCCAACTCAAGATAGATATACTCTGCCTCTACTTACTCTTGTCCTCTATCCTAAGAATAGGTAGGGAGGGAGGATCATGTCACAGCAGCAGAATTGTTTCTAACCTCATTTCTGCCTCTAAGCCACTTTGTGTCTTTGGCCAGGTAACATAACACCAAGCCTGAAAGGTAAAGTTGAATTGTTACATAGACATGAATTTTAGAAACTTTAAAGCGTTCTACAAATGAAGGTTGAATGACAAGAAACTTAGCTCTATATTTCTGTTTCTGGAGGCCGAGGCAGGAGAATCACTTGAACCCGGGAGGTGGAGGTTGCTGTGAGCCAAGATCGCCCCACTGCACTCCAGCCTGGGTGACAGCAAGACTCCGTCTCGAAAAAAAAAAAAAAAAAAGAAAGAAAAAGAAATAAAAATCTAGTTATTAACACGTCAGTAGTAAAAAGAAGTACAAAATTTTCTCATTGATATTTTTGTAGTCAATAAAAAAGGTAATTATAGGCATAAGGCAATACAGTTATACATTTTATGTAATAAAAATATATTAAGTTTTTAAAATGCAGCTTATAAACTTTATTTTCTGAATCACCTTTATGGAAAAAAGGTTCTTAGACCAATGTCGTAGATAGACTCAAGGGTAATTTTACCAATGGCTTAGATACAATCAAGGTTAATAATTCCATGAGAGGTAATAGAGTTATAAATGAACTTTAAAAATAACATTTTGTATCTGATTGCCAAGAGTAGTGCATGCTTATTGGAGAACATTTGGAAAATACATATATATATATATATATATATATTTTTTTTTTTTTTTTTTTTTTTTTTTTGAGACGGAGTCTTGCTCTGTCGCCCAGGCTAGAGTGCAGTGGCGCAATCTCGGCTCACTGCAAGCTCTGCCTCCCAGGTTCACGCCATTCTCCCACCTCAGCCTCCTGACTAGCTGGGACTAAACATCATTAATATTTTTAAGTATTATGATTCCCTTTTGTCCCCTAGTCAAATTATGTATGTATTGCTCCTTATAAAATGTTCTCTCCTTCACCAAAGATTAGATCATATTGACAATTGTATCCACCTCTATGCTACCTTCTGGTTCCATAAAGTGATGGTACTAGACTCAGTGGGTGAGATCTATTCCTTGATAGTAGTTTTTTTTTATATGGTCTATGTTTTAACAGAGCAGAGAAAGGAGTGAAGTTAAGAGTGTGGTAGGCAGAATTCTAAGATGGTTCTCAGGATACCCAGACCCTGGTGTACGCACATCTTCTCCCAGGTATTCAATCAAACACAGATCCAGGTGCTCCTGTAAAGGAATTTTGCAGATATATATAATTAAGGTCTCAAATCAGTTGACTTTAAGATAGGGAGATTTTCCTCAATAGGCCTGGCCTGATCAGATGAACCCATAAAAAAAGACAGGGCTGGCCGGGAGTGGTGGCTCAAGCTTGTAGTCCCAGCACTTTGCGAGACCGAGGTGGGCGGATCATCTGAAGCTAGGGATTCAAGACCAGCCTGGTCAACATGGTGAAACCCCGTCTCTACTGAAAAATACAAAAATTAGCCGGGCGTGATGGCAGACACCTATAATCTCAGCTACTCAGGAGGCTGAGCCAGGAGAATCGCTTGAACCGGGGAGGCGGATGTTGCAGTGAGTGGAGATTGAGCCAGTGCACTCCAGCCTGGACGACAAGAGTGAAAATCCATCTCAAAAGAAAAGAAAAGGAAAAAAAAAAGACAGGGCTATTCCTAAAGAAAGAGACTTGAAGCATGAGAAGGATTTGACGAAAGAGAGATGTTCCATTGCTGGCTTGGAAGATAGAGGGGGACACATGGCAATGGATGTGGGCAGCTCTAGGAGCTGAGAATAGGCCTCCAGCTGACAGCAAATAAACAGGTACCTTGGGCCTATAATTGCAAGGAACTGAATTTGCCCACAACCTGAATGAGCCTGAAAGCACATTCTTCTCTATGTCCTTCAGAAAGCCCAACACCTTTATTTCAGCCATCTAAAAGCCTGAGTGGAGAACACAGCCATGCCATGTTTGGGCTTTTGACCAACAGAACCATGAGTTAATATGTGAGTGTTTTTTTAAGCTGCTATTTGTGGTATTTTGTTAGACAACAATAGAAAACTAATACAGAGTCCTATTTTCAAAGGCCTCTGATTTGCTTTAAGAAAAGTTGTTCATTCCTTTTTATTGTTGCTGTAGTATTCTACTGCATAAATGTACCACCATGTATTTACCCAGTCAGCTGTTGAGGAGCATTTGGGTTGTTTCCAGTTTGGAGCTATTATGAATAAAGTTGCTATGATCATGTGTGTACAAGTGCTTTTTGAGGAACATCTGGTGCTAGTTTCAAGGCCAGCACAGGAAGCATATAAGGAACAATTAACTCCGGGATACATCAGGTCAACATCTCACCTGTTATTCAGTCAGCCCTCATATATTAGTTCTGATCCCTGAAAATCAAGGGCCATGGATGGGTCCCTCAGCCTATTTCCCCATCTAGTCTTAGGCCATGCTCCACAATGCCTGCTTTGAACTTTTTGGCAGTCCTATACAGATAAAAAGCCTAAAGATAACCAGAGACCACAGCAGCTTACTTTCAAATTAGCTAGCCAATGAAAAGACAGTAAATGAGCAGAACAGAAATCACCTGGTTTCCATACTTATGAGTGAAAATAAGCTTTACCACGAATGCTAATGCCAGTACCTCTGCAAATTCAATGCTCTTAACAATGCTAGTAAGACTTTCCACTGGTTATCATCCCATTTTTCCTTCCCCAAAGAAACTATTAGAGAAGCATTTTATAATCACTGATGCCATATTTCTCACCCAGTGATAGAAGAGAATAACAACTTCACAGGCTCTTTTTTATACAAAAAGTGGAGAAGAATAAGTTTGGCAATTTACCTAGAAATTCGGTAAATCAACAAGAGAGTAAGAATGCAGGTGTCTGGAATTCCCAGCAGGTACACTCTACATAGGCAAATAGTGCTTTTCACATGAAATAAACCTAGAATAAGAGACACTAGAAATACAGTCAGCCACAATGAATACTTACATAGTTTTAGCTTAAGCTTAACTTTTTTGCGAGTGTTTTTCCCCCGGAGGGGAGGGGTGAGATTTCTTTTTAATCTAGTTGGTTGGTTGAATGAGATTTGTTTTTGTCAATGTCAAGAGCCACAGAAAACAAAATGGAAAAGGGGAGAGGGAAATACTGACTTGGGAAGCTTTCTCCAGATGTTCCATTCCAAATTTATATTGCCTCAAAATGCCTCTCTTGGTTGATAAAAGACTATCAAATTATCAGATACATACAGGTTTTAGAAATGCTTACTTCAAGAATGATTGTCAGTCATGAGAGGTAGTACATTGAAGTAACCAACATTGAGGAAAGAGAATTGTTACAGAAACTGGCATGATGAGATGTATAATTTATTTGAGAAGAGAGAGAAATTTTTCCAGACAGATAAAAGTGGGCTACATAACAGGAACATGTCAACAGAACTACTGGAGAAGGTAAAAATGCCTTTAGCGTCCAGCTAATTTTAGAACAAGCATTTTCGGCTAAATACAATATCCATTTGACCACCCCCTGCTTTTTGAAACCCTGGCTGACTGTGAAGTCCTTTCTTCTATCTGAAATCAACAATAACCATCACCACTTAATTCTCCCAACTTCTTTCAGCATTGGGGCCCTCTCAATGACCTAGCTTGTGCCTGTTCATCTGTGTGTGCGTACGTGCGTGCGCGCGTGTGTGTGTGTGTGTGTGTGTGTGTGTTTTCTCGCCAGCTTCTCAGACTTGTTCCCATTCATCCAACACTAGGTCCTTACCTTGAATCCCTGAACCATTTCCCACTCTGAAGTCCTTGATTGGTAGCAACAGGATGTTATTGGCAGGAGAAAACCTTTCAATAAGTAATCCTTTGACCTTTTTAGTCACTCTAAACTAGGAGCACTCGGTGTGAGTGGGACTCTGGAACTTCCATATCAATTATTCATCTAACCGTACCCAAAGCCCCAGGGAATGGCTCATTTCCTTTTGGGATGATTCTTTCTCATATTCCTTTGGGCTCCCCCATTGCTTTTGGCACCTGCCTGTTTTGTGAGTTACATCTTGTAAAGACTTTATAACCCAAGGGCCAATGCCATGGTTTTGAGACTATCCTTTATTTGTTGTAGAACTGTCCCACAGGTGATTTTAGGAAACACTACTCTTTGGCCTACAGAGTCAGGGAGGGCCAATGCATTTAATAATACCTGCAATTCTTAAGGGAATAACCCCTACATTCCACCGGAGCAGGCAGCTGCCTCGGGCATGGAGCTTTTATAAATTTCCTGTTGTGTTAGAGTCAATTCCAGTTTGTGAAATTGAGTCTCACAGAGGGAGGTCAGTAATTGGTAGCACCTGGCTTGGATGAAGGGCTTCACTCATATGAGAGAGAGAGAGAGAGCATGTGTGTGTGTGTGTGTGTGTGTGGGTGTGTGTAAATACAGCAGCTTCTCACAGGTAAAACTTTCTACACCAAAGTAGGATCTTAAGACCATTTTTCTTCATCTTTCTTCTCTGTTTGCCAGGGTTTGATCATTTCCTGAAGGAAAGACTCCCCTGAGAGAGGGAGCATAAGGGAAAGGGCAAGTCTAACTTCTGCCACCAACTAACCTTGTGAACTTAAGTTAATAATTTAGTTCTTCATTTGTAAAATGGGAAAGTATCCTCTTGGCCACAGGATGCCTCTTGAATACATGATCTCCTAAGAATCTGTAGTTCTATGATTGATCTACCTGCTTCATATGACTAAATATATGACAACCCTAAGAAGCCTCCCATGTGGCCACAAAGATATACACATGTAGGGATATGGACACATACATTGTATCTACTCAAAATGTTTAGTTAACTAGTTATGCATACATATTCAAAATCATATTTATAAAATAATCTGTTGATTTTTAAAATACTGTATTTTTCTACTTTCATTTTGTAAAACGATGTTATTCCTCACCACTGCCATTTTGTGACTAATCCAACAGTTTTCCCAGCACATCATCATCACTTCCAAGTTATTTGAGATTTAACACTGAGTCCATGCACAATGCTGTCACTAGAAATGTTATCCCAAGTCACCAACACCCATTTGCATCACATGCAGTCATTTTTTCATTTCCTATACGACTATATTTGTAATCTCCATAATGTATCACTTAGCGTATTGCAGTTTTACTTGATCTCTAAAAGGACTATTTTTAAAAATTCTAACACTTGCATTTCAGGGCTAAAAACTTCAGGAATGACTACTAAATCAGTGATACATTTCTTTTTTTCTCTTTTTAAGTAGTTCTAACAGATGATCTTCAAAAGCATCAACAACAGACATTAACTTAGATCATTTCACCCCAATTCATCTTCCACTAACAGTAGTTTTTTATTCCAAGTTTGGTATCAAGAGAGCACCAAAAGATGACTAAATAAGGATGTGTACAAAAGGTGACTTCCTTTTTTTCTGGGAAATAATTTTGGAGACAAAAAAATTCACCTTATATTTGGAAAAATGGGTATACATAAGGCCATGAGTCAAATTAATTTCAGAAATGTAAAAGTAGCATATGCTTTGTTTTTCCTCCACTTATCCTTGGAACCCAAAGTCACATCATTCTAAGTAGACGATTTATTTTAAGATTATATTATTATTATTCTCCATTTAAAAGGAAGCATCAGAATTTGATGTATCTGCTCAAACAACAAGCCTCACTCTACACTGCAAGAAAACTAAAAGCAAGCTCTTTTAAAAGTAACCACCCCAGTGGTTTATCAGGCACAGCCCAACACTGGCAAAGATGGTAGAAAAAAGAGTGAAAAGTTCACTCAGTACTCTTTGCTTTCAGTTTTCCCTCAGAATTCAACTTTCCAACAATAATCTGAGCCCTGTCTTCTTCCTCTGAATTTTGTCCTTTACATGGAAGGGAAAAAAATGCTGGTGCCTATAATAGTTGCTGATAGTTACTGCCTTAAATTTGCTCTCCTGGTCATGAGAAAGTGTTTCCACTTTCTAGTGACCCTTCCCACGTACTAGGGCATTCTTGCCAGGACTCAACTATGGAAACTTATTCCAATTAGGCAGGAAATGAAAAGAAACCTGTCCTACCATTTGGCTCAAAGTAAGAACGAGTATATATAGAAGAGTCCCAGAAAAAAAAAAAAAGGCAAGAAAAATAAACTCAGCTTCCTACCACCAACACCACCACTGTTTTTTGTCCCCAACAGAAACCTACAGGCAATCTGTTCTCCATAGATGTTAAATATTCAAAATTCTAGGAGGGAAGTGTTATGAGTGACTAGAGCAAAAAAAATGGAGCAAAGCTGTTGTGTTCTCTTTGACTCTATTACAGGCAAAGCTATTTGTATGACCCATTGTCCAAATGCCTCCTTCACCTACTTCAGCTGGGGGATGGGAAGAAGAAAGAGGCTTTGGCCGCAACAACAAAATAAGTCAGTTCTAAAGACACCGAGAGTCACCTTTTTAGAGCTCAACTTTTATTTCCACCTGAATGAAAAGCTCAGTCTGAGGTGAGAGCATCCTCAGGCAGCCAATCATTGGGATGCATAGTTCCTAACCCTTTGGAGTCACTGGGAAATCCCAGTGATGAATGTCCCCTTCCACATCCTGGACATTTGTCACTCAATTTCACCAGGTCTCTGTTTCCTCTCTTGAGGCAAAAAAAGAGAAAGGTCTCCCAGTGTCTTTATTAGGAGAATTTTGAATAGAATTGTTTAAGAAGAGGATTAACATTGACTTGGTATTGAAAATGGCCAACTCCTCTAGACAAAAATCTGAAAATAATTCTGATAAAAAGAGCAATTCTGCTTGTGAGCAAACCAGATGGCTACACACCCCTTCATCCAGTCTGTTGGTTTTCACATTGCTGCCTTGGAAGTTTCTCCCCAGAAAAACACATGGACGTGAGACTTTCTGACTGAGTTAGGAATCTGGTTCGAAAAAGGGCCTATCCACACTAACCCCTAGGTCTGCCCAACATAATTGCCCGCTTCATTTTCTTCAGGATATTTTCCCTGACAGATTGACTACACTTCTGAATAACTAAATATATCACTTATGGTCAACAAAGAGAAAACATTGAGGCTTCTTTGTGGAGCATTCAAACCAAAGCTTAGCGTTTGACCAAATTCCCTGGATTCATGCAGTAAATTGGGTCCAGGTGTGCTCTGAAGAGTTAGAACACTCATATTTAGAAAATTTCTCAGCTTCTACTTGAATGTTTATTTGTAGAGCTGATCATTAAAGCATGAGTAGAAAGAACATCAGAGGCCATCTATTAAGGGAGGCTTCCTGTTTCATCAGGAAGTGGTGATTGAACACCTTATAATCCCACACAATCCCACTTCCTCTAAGTAATTGTCATATCCCAAAAAGATGTGATAATTAAAGTTCAATCTTGGAACTCACACAATTGGTGCTAGGAACTGACACAATTGGTGCTAGGGTGAGTGTCAATTGCCCAAGACACTGTGGGAGTCCATTAAGAAAAAAAAAAGTTTATCATCTCAGCAAATACAGGATTACTGACAATAGCTTGGATTGACCAAAACGAGCATTAGTATGGACTCAACTATTCTCCAGGTTGGTATGGAGTTCTCAGCAATGGGTGAAGAGTCCATGGATGAACTTTAGAGTGGACCTTCTAAAAATATTGTGGAAAAGCACATGTGCATTTTAGAGGGAGGGCCCATAGCTTCTTTCATACTGTCATAGGTCATATTGTACCTAACAAAAGCCGTTAATGACCATAAGCACTGTACATTAAGATGTTATAACCTCAAGACTTGATTTTACGAAGTCAATCTTTGACGTAAATTCAGTGCCCTCTTCCAAAATCCTAACTCTGCCATAAGTTAATGATTATATGTTATAGTTAATCTAGTTTAAACCATAACTGTGTATGAGATATTGATAAGCATATTTCCTTCTCCCAGTTAATCTTTTTTTAAAAAAATCTCTTTTTAATTATATGACTCAATTAACCATCAATCAGAATAAGTCATATCTTGTGAAACAAATTTTTAAGAAATGAATGTTGGTGATAATTTAGTATCCTTCTCACTAATTCTAATTTAAACTTAATCATCACTATGGATTGTAATCTGTCTCATGCAATGCCTAATCTTGCTTAGGATCAAAGCACTCTCAAATCTTGTGTTATATGTGAAAAGTTTTTTTAGAAGTGTTAATCACCCATTATATATGTTAGATATAATCAAGGAGATCCAGTATATGATAAGATTTTTTAAAAGCATTAGATTTAGGCTGGGTGCGGTGGCTCATGCCTGTAATCCCAGCATTTTGGGAGGCCGAGGTGGGCAGATCACGAGGTCAGGAGATCGAGACCATCCTGGCTAACACGGTGAAACCCCATCTCTACTAAAAAAAAAAAAAAAAATTAGCCGGGCATGGTAGCAGGTGCCTGTAGTCCCAGCTACTCAGGAAGCTGAGGCAGGAGAATGGCGTGAACCTGGGAGGCAGAGCTGGCAGTGAGCCAAGATTGCGCCACTGCACTCTAGCCTGGGTGACAGAGCAAGACTCCATCTCAAAAAAAAAAAAAAAAAAGCATTAGATTTAAATAGAACTTCAGCACTTTATTAACTTCATCACTTGATCAATGTTTAACCCAATTTTAACTTCCCTATCTCAGCATACTTATGTACCAAAATTTTCATAGGAGCATCTCAAAATTTTTTTATGATTAAAAACACTTTTATTGAGATACAATTTATATACAATAAAATACACCATTTTAAATGTATAATTTGATGTTTTACAGTATACCCACAAAGGTTGTGAACCATCAAGTCTGTCTAATTTTAGAACATTTTCATCACTCCAAAAGGAAATCTCATATCCATTAGCAGTCGCTCGCCATGCCCTCCTCCTCTAACCCCTAGCAGCCACTAATCTACTCTCTGTTTCTATTGATTTGTCTATTCTGGACATTTCATTTAAATGGAATCGTATACTATGTGGCTTTTGTGCCTGCCTTATTTTACTCAGCATAATGTTTTCAAGGTTCATCCACATTGTAGAGTCCATCACTACTTCATTCTTAGTGGCTGGCCTTTTGGAATTTCAAATGAGATTTTTTTTTTGGCTATTACTAAGCATTATGGTGATGTCTGTCAGATGTCATTGTGCTGAACAGGTCCTGTGGCACAGTACATAGCAAGGTGTAGCAGTCAGTAAGAGGCATGGCATGATGTCAAACTCTTTCCAAAGAAGCATCATGTGCATGTAGTTTGTTTAGGGAGTACATAAGAGAGCTCAGAAAAGGCATCGAGCCATGAGACCTCCTCACAGAGTAGCAGAGTACTGAAGTCAGTCTGGTAAGAAGACAGCAGTAGCTGTGAGGTCATTTTAGAACACTGAGACATGGCTTTGGTCCTTCCAAGATTTTTATTCCCTTCAAGCAGGCTGCCAAAAATTTTAGTGTTCAAATATATACAAAGGACAGAAAATGGTTGAGAACCACCATTTCATCAACTCTCATTGTCTGTACTCAACTAAATGATAACTGCCATCAATATACACTGAATTCCTTTTTGGCTGAGCACAAAATGCTGTAGATTGAGGTGGGGTTTGTTTATATTTTAGAAGAGGATGCTTTGCTGGGTAATAACCAAGGTGGTCTATTTTCCATGGCTTTTGCTCTCTTTTTCCATAGGCAGAGGTGGAAGGACAATCTACCTGGTGCTCTGATGCCACTGAAACCATAAAAGGCTAAGGCTGTATGTCCTTACTCCCTATCATGAAGAGATCCTTTTCCATTTGATTCTTATTAAGCATCACACCATGCCCTTCTTCTCCTTATAATGCATCCAGTAGTCACAAGAGTTTCAACTGACTGATTTGGAGGCAGGTGTGATTTCATTTGACTACAATTGCATGATTCTCATGTATTTTAAGCACAGTCCTAGAGCAATGGCTCCCAAATGATCCATACTACACGTAGAAAGCATGTTAAAAATGCAGATTTCCCAGCCAGGCGTGGTGGCTCGTGCCTGTAATCCCAGCACTTTGGGAAGCCAAGGTGGGTGGATCACTTGAGTCAAGAAATTCGAGACCAGCCTCAGCAACATGGTGAAACTCTGCTCCTATAAAAAATACAAAACTCACCCCGGCATGGTGGTGCACGCCTACGGTCCCAGCTACTCAGGAGGCTGAGGTGGGAGGATGGCTTGAGCCCAGGAGGCAGAGGCTGCAGTGAGCTGTGATCACACCACTGCACTCCAGGCTGGGCAACAGAGTGAAACCCTGTCAAAAAAAAAAAAAAAAAAAAAAAGTTCAGATTCCCTCGGTTTGACTCTGATTAGGTAAGTCTGAGGTAGAGCCCAGAAATTTGAATCTGAAGCAAGCATACTTGTCCCATGTTGATGTGGGAGATTCATTAGAAGAGTCTGAGAAATACTGCTGTACTAGCTTTTGTTTACAGATTGCCTCAGGTGCCATTTCAAAAATGTCCCTCTTAAATGTTTATGTATTCCATAAAAAAATAAAGTTGGTGGGGACATAAACTTTAAGATTTTGTTATTGCATCTCTCTTAGTATGCCCTTCTCTTGCCAGTTTTTATTGATTCTCCACCTATAGTGTAAAATATCTCCATACACAGTGTAAAATCTACTTGATGAGAAGATGGTGGCAGTAGAAAAGGCTCTAGAGAGATAAAGCTTGCTTAAAAATACGGGAATGTGGGTGGCTGGCAAGATGGCCAAATAGGTACAGCTCTGGTCTGCAGATCCCAGCAAGATTAATGCAGAAGGCAGGTGATTTCTGCATTTCCAACTGAGGTACATGGCTCTTCTCACTGGGACTGATTAGACAGTGGGTACAGCCCACAGAGGGTGAGCCAAAGCAGGGTGGGGCGTCCCCTCACCCGGGAAGTGCAAGGGGTCTGGGAACTCCCTCCCCTAGCCAAGGGAAACCATGAGGGACTGTGCCATGAGGAATGGTGCATTCTGACCCAGATACTATGCTCTTCCCCTAGTCTTCACAATCTGCATACCAGGAGATTCCCTCAGGTGCCTACGCTACCAGGGCCCTGGGTTTCAAGCACAAAACTGGGCAGCCATTTGGGCAGACACTGAGCTAGCTGCAGGAGTTTTTTTTCATACCCCACTGGCGCCTGGAATGCCAGCAAGACAGAACCGTTCACTCCCCTGGAAAGGGGGCTGAAGCCAGGGAGCCAAGTGTTCTAGCTCAGCGGATCCAACCCCCACAGAGCCCAGCAAGCTAAGATCCACTGGCTTGAAATTCTTGCTGCAAGCACAACAGTCTGAAGTTGACCTGGGACTCTCCAGCTTGGTGCAGGAAGAGGTGTCCACCATTACTGAAGCTTGAGTAGCTGGTTTTCCCCTCACAGTGTAAACAAAGCCACCAGGAAGTTCAAACTGGGCGGAGCCCATGACAGCTCAGCAAAGCCACTGTAGCCAGACTGCCTCTTTAGATTCCTCCTCTCTGGGCAGGGCATCTCTGAAAGAAAGGCAGCAGCCCCAGTCAGGGGCTTATAGATAAAACTCCCATCTCCCTGGGACAGAGCACCTGGGGGAAGGGGGAGCTGTGGGCACAGCTTCAGCAGACTTAAGTGTTCCTGCCTGCTGGCTCTGAAGAGAGCAGCGGATCTCCCAGCCCACACTCGAGCTCTGCTAAATGACACACTGCCTCTTCAAGTGGGTCCCTGACCCCCATGCCTCCTGATTGGGAGACAACTCCGAGCAGGGGTCGACAGACACCTCATATAGGAGAGCTCTGGCTGGCATCTGGCGGGTGCCCCTCTGGGACGAAGCTTCCAGAGAAAAAAAAACAGGCAGCAATCTTTGCTGTTCTGCAGTCTCCACTGGTGATACTCAGGCAAACAGGGTCTGGAGTGGACCTCCAGCAAACTCCAGCAGACCTGCAGCAGAGTGGCCTGACTATTACAAAGAAAACTAACAAACAGAAAGGAATAGCATCAACATCAACAAATAAGAGGTCCACACAAAAACCCCATTCGAAGGTCACCAGTATCAAAGACCAAAGGTAGATAAATCCATGAAGATGAGGATAAAACAATGCAAAGAGACTGAAAATTTCAAAAACCAGAATGCCTCTTCTCCTCCAAAGGATGACAACTCCTCGCCAGCAAGGGAAAAAAAACTGGATGGAGAATGAGTTTGACAAATTGACAGAAGTAGGCTTCAGAAGGTGGGTAATAACAAACTCCTCCAAGCTAAAAGAGCATGTTCTAACCCAATGCAAGAAAGCTAAGAACCTTGAAAAAAGGTTAGAAGAATTGCTGACTAGAATAACCAGTTTAGAGAAGAACATAAATGACCTGATGGAACTGAAAAACACAGCACGAGAACTTTGTGAAGCATACACAAGTATCAATAGCCCAGTCGATCAAGCAGAAGAAAGGATACCAGAGATTGAAGATCAACTTAATGAAATAAAGCATGAAGACAAGATTAGAGAAAAAAGAATGAAAAGGAATGAACAAAGCCTACAAGAAATATGGGACTATGTGAAAAGACCGAACCTATGTTTGATTGGTGTACCTGAAAGTAATGGGGAGAATGGAACCAAGTTGGAAAACACTCTTCAGGATATTATCCAGGAGAACTTCCCCAACCTAACCAGACAGGCCAACATTCAAATTCAGGAAATGCAGAGAACAGCACAAAGATACTCCTTGAGAAGAGTAACCCCAAGACACATAATCATCAGATTCACCATGGTTTAAATGAAGGAAAAAATGTTCAGCATGGCCAGAGAGAAAGGTCGGGTTACTCACAAAGGGAAGCCCATCAGACTGTCAGCGGATCCCTCTGCAGAAATGCTACAAGCCAGGAGAGAGTGGAGGCCAATATTCAACATTCTTAAAGAAAAGAATTTTCAACCCAGAATTTCATATCCAGCCAAACTAAGCTTCATAAGCGAAGAAGAAATAAAATCCTTTACAGACAAGCAAATGTTGAGAGATTTTGCCACCATCAGGCCTGCCTTACAAGAGCTCCTGAAGGAAGCAAAGGAAAAACTAGTACCAGCCACTGCAAAAACATACCAAATTGTAAAGACCATTGACACTATGAAGAAACTGCATCAACTAATGGGCAAAATAACCAGCTAGCATCATAATGACAGGACCAAATTCACACATAACAATATTAACCTTAAATGTAAACAGGCTAAATGTCCCAATTAAAAGGCACGGACAAGCAAATTAGATATAGAGTTGACCCATCAGTGTGCTATATTCAGAAGACCCATCTCATGTGCAAAGACACACATAGGCTCAAAATAAAGGGATGGAGGACTATTTACCAAGCAAATGGAAAGCAAAGAAAAAAAAAAAAGCAGGGGTTGCAATCCTAGACTCTGATAAAACAAACTTTAAACCAACAAAGATCAAAAAAGACACAGAAAGGCACTACATAATGGTAAAGGGATCTGTGCAACAAGAAGAGCTAACTATCCTAAATATATATGCAACCAATACAGGAGCACCCAGATTCATAAAGCAAGTTCTTAGAGACCTACAAAGAGACATAGACTCCTACACAATAATAATGGGAGACTTTACCACCCCACTGTAAATATTAGACAAATCAAAGATACAGAAAATTAACAAGAATATTCAGGATTTGAACTCAGCTCTGGACCAAGCAGACCTAATAGGCATCTACAAAACTCTCCACCCTAAATCAACAGACTATACATTCTTCTCAGCACCACATCACACTTATACTAAAATTGACCAGATACTTGGAAGTAAAACACTCCTCAGCAAATGCAAAAGAACTGAAATCATAACAGTCTCTCAGACCACAGTGCAATCAAATTAGAACTCAGGATTAAGAAACTCACTCAAAACTGCACAACTACATGGAAACTGAACAATCTGCTTCTGAATAACTTCTGGGTAAATAATGAAATTAAGGCAGAAATAAATAAGTTCTTTGAAATCAATGAGAACAAAGACACAATGTACCAGAATCTCTGGGACACAGCTAAAGCAGTGTTTAGAGGGAAATTTATAGCACTAAATGCCCATAGGAGAAAGCGGTAAAGATCTAAAATCGACACCCTAACATCACAATTAAAAGAACTAGAGAAGCAAGAGCAAACAAATTCAAAAGCTAGCAGAAGGCAAGAAATAACTAAGATCAGAGCAGAACTGAAGGAGATAGAGACACAAAAAACCCTTCAAAAAAATCAGTGAATCCAGGAGCTGATTTTTTGAAAAGATTAAGAAAATAGATAGACCACTAGCCAGACCAATAAAGAATAAAAGAGAGAAGAATCAGATAGACACAATAAAAAATGATCGAGGGGAGATCACCACTGAACCAACAGAAATGCAAACTACCATCAGAGAATACTATAAACACCTCTACACAAATAAACTAGAAAATCTAGAAGAAATCGATCAATTCCTGGACACATACACCCACCCAAAACTAAACTGGGAAGAAGACGAATCCCTGAATAGACAATAACAATTTCTGAAATTGGGGCAGTAATTAATAGCCTACCAGCCAAAAAAGCCCAGGACCAGACAGATTCACAGCCGAATTCTACCAGAGGTACAAAGAGGAGCTGGTACCATTCCTTCTGAAATTATTCCAAACAATAGAAAAAGAGGGACTCCTCCCTAACTCATTTTATGAGGCCAGCACCATCCTGATACCAAAACCTGGCAGAGTCACACACACAAAAAGAAAATTTCAGGCCAATATCCTGATGAACATCGATGTGAAAATCCTCAATAAAATACTGGCAAACTGAATCCAGCAGCACATCAAAAAGTTTATCCACCACAATCAAATCGGCTTCATCCCTAGGTGCAAGGCTTGTTCAACATACGCAAAACAAGAAACGTAATCCATCACATAAACAGAACCAATGACAAAAACCACATGATTATCTCAATAGATGCAGAAAAGGCCTTCGATAAAATTCAACACCGCTTCATGTTAAAAACTCTCAATAAACTAGGTATTCATGGAACGTATCTCAAAATAATAAGAGCTATTTATGACAAACCCACAGCCAATATCATACTAAATGGGCAAAAGCTGGAAGCATTTCCTTTGAAAACTGGCACAGAACAAGGATGCCCTCTCTCACCCCTCCTATTCAACATAGTATTGGAAGCTCTGGCCAGGGCAATCAGGCAAGAGAAAGAAATAAAGGGTATTCAATTAGGAAAAGAGGAAGTCAAACTGTCTCTGTTTGCAGATGACATGATTGTATATTTAGGAAACCCCATCATCTCAGCCCAAAAACTCCTTAAGCTGATAAGCAACTTCAGCAAAGTCTCAGAATACAAAATCAATGTGCAAATATCACAAGCATTCCTGCATGCCAATAATAGACAAACAGAGAGCCAAATCATAGGTGAACTCTTATTCACTATTGCTACAAAGAGAATAAAATACCTAGGAATACAACTTACAAGGGATGTGAAGGACCTCTTCAAGGAGAACTGTAAAATGCTACTCAAGGAAATAAGAGAAGATGCAAACAAATGGAAAAACATTCCATCCTCATGAATAAGAAGAATCAATATCTTGAAAATGGTCATACTGCCCAAAGTAATTTATAGATTCAATGCTATTCTCATCAAGATACCATTCACAGAATTGGAAAAAAACTACTTTAAATTTCATATGGAACCAAAAAAGAGCCCTTATAGCCAAGACAATTCCAGGCAAAAAGAACAAAGCTGGAGGAAACACACTACCTGACTTCAAACTATACTACAAGGCTACAGTAGCCAAAACAGCATGGTACTGGTACCAAAACAGATGTATAGAACAGAACAGAGGCCTCAGAAATAACGCCACACATCTGCAACCATTTGGTCTTTGACAAACCTGACAAAAACAAGCAATGGGGAAAGATTCCCTGTTTAATAAATGGTGCTGGAAAAACTGGCTAGCCATATGCAGAAAACTGAAACTGGACCCTTCCTTACAGCTTATACAAAAATTAACTCAAGATGGATTAAAGACTTAAACATAAGACCTAAAACCATAAAAACCTTAGAAAAACCAAAAAACCTAGGCAATACCATTTAGGACATAGGCATGGGCAAAAACTTCATGACTAAAACACGAAAAGCAATGGCAACAAAAGCCAAAATTGACAAATGGGATCTAATTAAACTAAAGAGCTTTTGCACAGCAAAGGAACTATCATCAGAGTGAACAGGCAACCTACAGAATGGGAGAAAATTTTTGCAAATCTATCCATCTGACAAAGGGCTAACATCCAGAATCTACAAGGAACTTAAAGTTACAAGAAAAAAAAACCCCATCAAAAAGTGGGCAAAGGATATAAACAGACACTTCTCAACAGAAGGCATTTATGCAGCCAACAAACATATGAAAAGAAACTCTTCATCACTGGTCATTAGAGAAATACAAATCAAAACCCAATGAGATACCATCTCATGCCAGTTAGAATGGTGATCACTAAAATGTCAGGAAACAACAGATGCTGGTGAGGCTGTGGAGAAATAGGGACACTTCTACACTGTGGGTGGGAGTGTAATTTAGTTCAACCATTGTGGAAGACAGTGTGATGATTTCTCAAGGATCTAGAACCAGAAATACCATTTAACCCAGCAATCCCATTACTGCGTATATA